>NT_113891.3:3900000-4200000 GCF_000001405.40 Homo sapiens | reverse complement strand
CAAACATATCTTCAGCGTTATCACAAAGTTCAGTGATACTTAGGAATAACCTAGTGCTGGACACCAAGTAGATGACCAATGAATAATTTTTGTATTCTTAGTAGAGATGGGGTTTCACGATGTTGGCCAGTCTGGTCTAGAACTCCTGACCTCAGGTGATCCACCCGCCTTGGCCTCCCAAAGTGCTGGGATTACAGGCATGAGCCACCGCACCCGGCCCAGAAACAGATTTCTTATCTGAAATATCAGAAGGCAGAAAACAACAAGAGGGAAAAAAGGCTGCTAACTTAACGCATGGGGAAGCAGGGTGTGGGCAGGAAATGCAGTGTAAGAGAGGAGATTTGTACAGGGCGATGGAAGAGACAATGGAGAGAAGACAATCTGAGCAGAAGCTGTGAGGAGTAGATAGATACTAGGGAAAGGGGCTGCTAATTATGGTGTTATTTTAAAACTAGCTTTGTGTTTAAAATTCTCATTGCAACACCCTCAGAGACCTCCACTGCACTGCAAAAATCTTGGATTTATATTTTGTTTATCTTCTGGTGTAAAACTGAGCTGAAGCACACTGATTCTACTAGAAGAAGTCAATGTCCTAGGAAGACATTGACAGCTGTAGGGATGTTAACTGGGTCATCTTCACCAGTAGGTGGGGACATTGCACTTTAAAAATTCAAGGGAGCTGCTGCTTTCCCTTCTCTCCTGGCCCCTTGGCAGGTCTAGATTTGAGGGATCAGCATTTCTTGAGGGTGGTAACCCAGCCACTCTTATTTCCCTTACTCTTCCTTCCATGTGTTCAAAATATGATGCAATCTGAGATGTGGTTGTGGGTGTTTGAGAAGCAAAGAAGCATGACTGGAGCAGGAGTTAAAGTCTGCTTTTGTTTGAGAACTGAAGAGCTCAGTCTTTTACACGCTTTCACAGATAAGAGATTGGTACTATAAAATTACATGCTTAAAACAAACTTCGCTGCTGTCATTCTAATGCAAGCCACTATCCTTTTTCACATTGAGCATTCTGCCACCATCTGCAGCATTCTTGATATTTCAGTAAGAATTAAATTTTATTTTGCAATCAGTATTTTAAATTTATCAGGATACCTGTATATAGTTTGAGGATTAAACAATAAAGATGTATTTTAATGAAAACAAGAGCCCTTCATGCCATTCCTTTCCTCCACTAGCATTATCCCCAGCTCAATGACTTTTAATGGTAATATGTGTATCTTTGTGTATGTGGGGTATTAATTTAGACATCAGTTATCTAATTATCTGAAAGCAGATAATTTAGACCACCAACAATTTTATGTCTCTGGCATCCTTCTTGCAATTTTATTATATTACTATGTTTAGTTCCTCTGTAGGTAATCCCTGTATTTAAAAAAAAAAACAAAGAAAACCTACACCTAAGTATATTGTATTTAAACTGTAAAAAAAGTTGAAATACATAAATACTGCTTAGAAAAGCAAAGTGGGATGGGAAAAGTACAAGTTATTACATTTTAGTATATTTCTTAAAAATGAATATAACAGGTAGATATTTGTTAGTATGCATTACAAAATTTGGGCAACATAGTTATGAAGTATATTTGGATATTTTTCAATACATATATTACACAAAGGAAGAAATAAAGTACTGCTCAAATCAATGGATTAAATAACCTAGCTGAGATATTGGAAAGTAGATGAACAGTAATTCACAGAAGAAACTCAAATGGAAAATAGCATATGCAAAGATGGCCAACTTTCTCTATAATATTTGACACAGTAATATTATGTCATTTCAGTTTAAATAAAATTATACATTGATAAAAATGTGAAATCACGTCTTTGAGGGGTTACTAAGAAACTGTCTAGAAGCATTGTTCTAGAAGCTGATGTGGTTTTGGAAGATCAAGTGTGAATGTCCAAAGGCACTTCTGTTGAATAAAACACCAAGTGGAGAAATTGAAGATCCCTGATTGTGGAAGTATCCAACTGTTTAGAACTCAACTGAAATCCTGAATGATAGTTCTCTACATGTAGCAGGAGGAGCAAGTGACTCATGGAAATAACGGGTTTATTTAAATAAAGATAGCCTTTATGTGGACATCAAATTCATCAATGAATGTATCCATTTATTTGTCAAATAATTATTTAGCTCCTACTAAGTGCTACATGCTATTCCAGATAACTTAATCAAAAAGGCAAATGTGTCCCTACCTTTATGAGCTTTAATTCTAGCAGGAACTAAAAAAAGTCACATAATAAACAGACATAAAATGCAGTGTTAGGTTGTGATTCTTGCTATGAAGCTACAAAAGAGGAAAGCTGAGTAAGGGAATAAAGAAACAAAGTGCTTATCAGTAGTGAACTTCCATGCAGGCCATGACAGGCTCATTTCAAAAGAAGCAGAAATATTTTATTATTTTTCCTTGGGTTATTAGTGTCACATGTAAGAATAGTGCACTAGATTTACTACCACAGATTTTTGTACTTATACTTATTTTGAACAAAATAACAACGTCTAGATAGTTCCTTTCCTCCTGCAAGAACTAAGTGTATGTAAATCCTCTCTTTTGTAATCTAGTTTATTTTTTTCACATGTGAGGATCCCAGATACTATTAGGATGCCTTCATTGCTAATTGGATCTTGGAAAATATACTTTCTTGCTTTACAAAATATATTTCCTTTTAAGCCTCAGAGTAAATTTTGAAATGATCTACCCATGGATTAGTCCTCTGATTTTAACTAGTATCATTATTCTAGCTGTAAAGGACATCTATTCAAACTGTGTACAGGTAAGATTATCCAGGGGGTATAGTTTAGAGCACCCATATAATTTTCAATAGATTATGTGATTTTACAAGAATCTATCAAGTTAATGTTTCAAGAATATTGATAATTACTTTTAGACGTTTTGCTGAAAAAATACAAATAGACAGGGAGTCCATAGTAATAGGGTGGGTCTAAAGTTATGTAGTCTGAGTGAGGACATGGGATGTTAAGTCCAGAGACAGGCCATATGCAGACAGCCAGAACAATGTCTCAAAATCTACAAATGGCTGGGCCTGGATCAGTAATTCTTATGTGAAGGAGGATGCCAGAAATGAGCAATGTAAACCTTAACAGAGTCTGAAAACACATCTCAAGGTAGAGGTTAGAATGAATCCACCTGCCATCCCAGCCTGATACACATGCTAGAATGGGTTATAGAAATGGGCTAACAGGAAAAAAGTCATTGAAATCATGGAAAAGACCGAAATGAAAAATGTGAGATAATATAAAGATCCATATATGTTATTTATTTCAGTAAAATGCAAATAGACTTGACTTGTGATCAAAAGACAGAGACTGACAAATTGAATGCAAAAATACAAATTCAGATTATACTGTTTACAAGACATATGTCTAAAGCATAAAAGTCATTTCAGAGATTGAGTGTAAAAGACAGAAAGGATATATCATGCAAATACTAATTTTGAAAAATGATATCAATTTATTAATGTAAAAAACAAATTTTAAGGAAAAAAGGCATTGTAGATTTTTCTCCATCTCTTTATTTTGAGCCTGTGTGTCATTACATGTGAGATGAGTCTCTTGAAGACAGCATACCAATACATCTTGGTTCTTTATCCAGCTTGTCACTCTGTGTCTTTTAATTGGGGTATTTAGCTGATTTACATTTAAGGTTAGTATTGATATGTGTGGATTTGCTCCTGTCATCATGATGTTAGCTGGTTAATTTGCAGACTTGTTTATGTGGTTGCTTTATAGTGTCACTGGTCTGTGTACTTCAGTGTGTTTTTGTAGTGGCTGGTAACAGTCTTTCCTTTTCATATTTAGTGCTTCCTTCAGAAGCTCTTGTAAGGTAGGTTTGGTGGTAATGAATTTGCTCAGCATTTGCCCGTCTGAAAAGGATCTTATTTCTCCTTCAATATGAGGCTTCATTTGGCCAATTATGAAACTCTGAGTTGGAATTTCTTTTCTTTATGAATATTGAATATTGGCCTCCAATCTCTTCTGCTTGTAGGGTTTTAGCTGAGAGGTCTGCTGTTAGTCTGATGGACTTCCCTTTGTAGGTGACCTGATCTTTCTCTCTAGTTGTTTTTATTTTTTATTTTTTAACATTTTTTTCTTTCATTTTGACCTTGGGGAAGCTGATAATTGTGTGTCTTGGGGATAAAAGTCTTGTGAAGTATCTTATTGGGGTTCTGTACATTTCCTGAATTTGAATGTTGGTCTCTCTAGCTAGGTTGGGGAAGTTCTCATGGATGATATCCTGAACTATGTTTTCCAAGTTGGTTCCATTCTCTCCATCTCTTTCAGGGACACCAATCAGTCATAGATTTGGACTCTTTACATAACCCCATATTTCTCAGAGGTTTTGTTCATCATTGGGGAAGACAGTGTGGAGATTCTTCAAAGACCTAAAGACAGAAATACCATTCAACCCAGCAATCTTATTACTGGGTATATACCCAAAGGAATATAAATCTTTCTATTATAAAGGCACATGCATGTATATGTTCATTGCAGCATATTCACAATAGCAAAGACATGGAATCAACCTAAATGCCCATCAATGATAGACTAGATAAATAAAATGTGGTACATATACACCATGGAATACTATGCAGCCATAAAGAAACAAAATCATGTCCTTTGCAGAGACATGGATGAAGCTGAAAGTCATTATCCCTAGCAAACTAATGGGGGAACAGAAAACCGAATACTGTTTGTCCTCACTTATAAATAGGAGCTAAATTATGAGAACACATGAATTCATAAAGGAAAACAACACACACTGGGGCCTATCAGAGGGTGGAGGGTGGGAAGAGGGAGAGGATCAGGAAAAATAACTAATAAGTACTAGGCTTAATAACTGTTTGACAAAATAATCTGTACAACAAACCTCCATGAAACAGTTTACCTATGTAACAAAACTGCACATGTACCCCGAACTTAAAATAATAGTTAAGAAAAGAAAACAAACAAACAAAAAGCAAATTAAAAATAAAAGCTATGGTTGAATCAATGATGACATTGAGGAATAAAACAAGCATTAGGATCATGACATTAGCACAAAGCCATTCATGAGGGATCTGCCCCCATGGTCTAAACATCTCCCATTAGGCCCTGCCTCCAACATTGGGGATCAAATTTCAACATGAGATTTGGAGTGGACAAATATCCAAACTGTGGATGGGAATGCATGTGGAAGAAATACTTAATACAATTGCATTTAAAAAGTAGAGAGGGTAAAATATGCTAATGGTAATAGAGATACGGACTGTATCCTTCACTCAAAGTGGTAAAACATCAATACCAGTAGACTGTGATAAGTTATATGTATATATTGTAATAAGTACAACCACCACCAAGAAAGCTATATGAAGCAATGTACTAAAAAGGATTAAAAAGTATGAGTGTAGATACAAAAGTTCTTCCTGAGAACTTCAAATAAGATAGATATGCATATGGTGAGTAGGGCTGAAGTCTTGACTTCTATGCCTGAAAGTAGGCATTATTGGCTGGGAATTTAATTCCTAAGTGGGAAAGAAACCAAAAGTGCTCTATGGAGGAAAGAGAGCCAAATTTTGACTTTCTGCTTCTGGCTAGGAGCTGAGGTTGGGCTCCCCATGATTTTAAAGGAGGTTGAGGAGAATGTTTTCAAACACTTGTATGCTATAGATATAAGGAAGTGAGAAGACACAGAATAACTTTCTCAAAAGGAACTGAAGCAAATAAAAAACAACTGTCCTGAGAAGATTGTTATTGTTCCAGATATTACAACAGGACAATAAATCTGAATGATCACTGAAGAACTGGGATTTTGATTGGAAGCCTGATGGGCTGAGGTGGAGTGGCTAAATAAAACCTCTGGACAGGGACAGTGGAGTACAGAAAAGAAGAGGAGGGAGGAGAGTAAAAGAGATGGGCAATGCTATGGTTTGAATGTTTATTTTCTCTGAAACTCATATTGAAACTTAATCCCCATAGTAATAGTATTAAGAGGGCTGTAAATCCAACTATGGTATTTGAGAGGTGGCACCTTTGGGAAGTAATTAGGATTAGATGAGGTCTTGAGGGTGGGGCATTGAGAGGAGAAACAGAGACCTTGAGCCATACCCCTTTGCCCTCTTGTCACATGATGCTCTGCACCTCATCAGAACTCGGCAGAAGGCCCACCAATAAGAAGACTCTCACCAGATGCTGGCACCATGCTCTGGGACTTCTCATCCTCCAGAACCATAAGAGATAAATTTTGTTTCTTCATAAATTACCCAATTTTTGGCATTCTGTTACAAGCAACAAGAAACAGACTAAGGCAGAAAATTGGTACTAAAAAGTTGGGCTGTTGCTAATAACAAATATCTGAAAATGTGGAAGCAGCTGTGGAACTGGGTAATGGGTAGAGGTTAAAAGAACTAAAAAAGGCAGGCGAGAAAAAGCCTGTATTGCCTTAAATGTCAATTCTGGTGATAAAGGGTGATTTTGGTGAGGGCTTAGAAGAAGTCAAGAAGACTAGGAAAAGTCTGGAACTCCTTTGTGATGATTTGAGTGGTCAGGACCAGAATGTCAATAGAAATATGGACAGTAAGGGCTGTTCTGCTGAGGTCTCAGGTCTGAGGAACAAGGAATTGGAAACTGAAGTAAAGGCCATCCTTGTTATAAATGCGTGAAAAACTTGGTTCTGAATTGTGTCTATATCTGATGGCTTTATTAGGCTATATGGCAGAAGAAATATCTAAGCAGCAAAGCAGTCAGGCAGCTGCATGGCTACTTTTAACTGCTTACATTAAAGCTGTGAGAGGTAAAAAATAACTTAAAGGTGGAATTTATAATTAAAAGGGAAGCTAAGTGGAAAGATTAGGAAATTTTGCAGCCTGGCCCTGAAAGAGCATTTTCAACAGAGGAAACCAAGGGTGTGTCTGAAGGAATGATTGATAAGGAGGGACTGATTGATAAGGAGAATTGTATGAATAGAATAAAGCCAGAAGCTATTCATCAAGACAATGGGAGACAAACACTGAATGCACTTTAGAGATCTTCAAGTCTACCCCTGCCATCACAGGCCCAGAGCTCTAGGAGGAAAGAATGGTTTCAGGAGACAGGCCTGGGGTGTCCTCCATGGGCTTGCTGCCCAATGCCACCTCAGGACAGTGCTTCCCTCATCCTGGTTGCTCCAGCCATAGCTCAAGTGGCCCTAGATGTGACTCATATTGTAGCTGCAGAGGGCACAAGCAGTAAGCCTTGGCAATGTCCACATGCATGTGGTGCTATTTCTGCAGGTCTTCAGGATGCAAGACTAGTGGGAAGGCATAGAAATCTCCACCTAGATTTCAAAGGATGTATCAGACTGCCTGGGAACCCAGGGAGAAAACTGCCACAGGGGCAGGGCCACCACTGTGGGGAAAAGCAAGAGGGATCAGATTGTTACTGTGTCTGTGTAGAAAGAAGTAGACATAGGAGACTCCATTTTGTTCTGTACTAAGAAAAATTCTTCTGCCTTGAGTGCTGTTAATCTATGACCTTACCCCCAACCCCGTGCTCTCTGAAACATGTGCTGTGTCGAACTCAGGGTTAAATGGATTAAGGGTTGTGCAAGATGTGCTTTGTTAAACGGATGCTTGAAGGCAGCATGTTCCTTAAGAGTCATCACCACTCCCTAATCTCAAGTACCCAGGGACACAAACACTGCGGAAGGCTGCAGGGACCTCTGCCTAGGAAAGCCAGGTATTGTCCAAGGTTTCTTCCCATGGGATAGTCTGAAATATGGCCTTGTGGGAAGGGAAAGACCTGACCGTCCCCCAGCCCGACACCCGTAAAGGGTCTGTGCTGAGGAGGATTAGTATAAGAGGAAGACATGCCTCTTGCAGTTGAGACAAGAGGAAGGCATCTGTCTCCTGCCCGTCCCTGGGCAATGGAATGTCTCGGTATAAAACCCGATTGTACGTTCCATCTACTGAGATAGGGAAAAACCGCCTTAAGACTGGAGGTGAGACATGCAGGCAGCAATACTGCTTTGTAAAGCATTGAGATGTTTATGTGTATGCATATCTAGAGCACAGCACTTGATTCTTTACCTTGTCTATGATGCAAAGACCTTTGTTCACGTGTTTGTCTGCTGACCCTCTCCCCACTATTGTCTTGTGACCCTGACACATTCCCCTCTCTGAGAAACACCCACGAATGATCAATAAATACGAAGGGAACTCAGAAGCCGGCGGGATCCTCCATATGCTGAACGCTGGTCCCCTGGGTCCCCTTATTTCTTTCTCTATACTTTGTCTCTGTGTCTTTTTCTTTTCCAAGTCTCTCGTTCCACCTAATGAGAAACACCCACAGGTGTGGAGGGGCGACCCACCCCTTCAACCACCAAGAGCCTCTGCTAGGGCAATGCTGAGAGGAACTGTGGGGTTGGAACTGCTACAGGGAGTCCTCCCCAGGGAAATATCTAGTGGTGCTGTGACAGTGGGACTGCCACCAAGACTCCAAAACTGTAGAGCTACCAGCATGCAGTCCCAGCTTCGAAAACCCAAGGCACCTGACTCCAACCCATGAGAACAGCCATATGTGGGCTGCAACCAGCAAAGCCATGAGGGCAGGGTTGCCTGAGGTCTTGGGGGCCCAACTTCTGCCCCTGTGTGCTCAGGATGAGGAACATGGAGTCAAAAGACATTATTTCCAGCTTTAAAATTTAATGTCTTTCCCTGTTGAGTTTCAGACTTCCTTGAGGCCTGTTACTTCTTTCTTCTGGCCCATTTCTCCTGTCCCAGCATTGTATCTTGGAGGTAGATAATTGGCTTTAGTATCTCAGGCTCACAGATAAGGACTTTGGACTTTTGGACTTTTGAGTTGGTACTAGAGAAAGTTAAGACTTTGGGGCTCTGGGGATAAAATGAATGTATTTGAATGTGAGAAGAATATGAGTTTTGAGGCTGCAGGGGTGAAATGCTATGGTTTGAAAGTTTGCTCCTCTAAATCTTATGTAGAAACTTAATCCCTATTGTAACAGAATAAAAGGGTAAGAAAACAGACCATGATATTTTAGGGGTGGGACATGTGAGAAGTAATTAGTATTAGATGAGGTCATGAGGATGGGGTGATGGGGCACTAAGGGTTTGATAAGAGGAGAAAGAGATACTTGAGGTAGCCCTCTCAGCCTGCTTGCTGTGTGATGCCTTGCACCACAATGGGACTCTGCAGAGGGTCCCCACTAGCAAGGAGGCTCTCACCAGATGCTGGCACCATGCTCTTGGACTTCCCAGCCTCCAGAAATAAATTTTGATTCTTTATAAATTACCCAGTTTCAGGTATTCTATTGCAATCATCAGGAAATTAATTAACACAGCAAAATCGACATCTAGAATACAAAATAATCGCAGCACTTTGGGAGGCCGAGGCAGGCGGATTACCTGAGTTCAGGAGTTTGAGACCAGCCTGGCCAACATGGGGAAACCCTGTCTCTACTAAAAATACAAAAATCAGCCGGGTGTGGTGGCACATGCCTGTAATCCCAGCTACTCAGGAGACTGAGGCAGGAGAATCCCTTCAACCCAGGAGATGGAAGTTGCAGAGTGAGCCAAGATTGTGCCACTGCACTCCAGCCTGGGCAATGGAGTGAGACTCTGTCTCAAAAAAAAAAAAAAAAGAATATACAGTAATTGGAGATGAAATTAATTTAAGTGTTCTGGTATATACTATGTAAGTATATGAAGTATAAATAAGTAGAGTGCAGATGACACCAATAATAATGACTTCATTGTTATTCTGTCTCAGTGAAGAAGGAGTCCTGTAGGTATGATTAATTATTCTCTTAGGTGTGTCTTCTCAATGCCAGCAAAGCTAGGTGTGGGTGAAAAAAATACCACCTAGTCTTTTTTGTTAAGTGACTATGAATATCATCAGATCCCTGTGCTTCCCTGTCTCTATCCCCAGGGATTCAATGACATTTATACACTTGGTTCCCAGGTGAGATTTTAATTAATAAACTAATCTCATGACTGTTAGCAATTATAATTAGATATTCTGTCAAGTTCCTAATTCTCACATCTTCAAGTCCTGTAATTTGGCATGAAGGCACTGCGAATTTGGACTTTGAGCTAACAAGATTTAGACAGGATATTGGCCTTGATCTGAGGCTGTAATGGAATGAGACTTTGGGGGGTCCTTGAGAAGGGATTAATGTATTTTACATTTGAGAGGGACATGAATTACAGGTGGCCAGAGGGCTGAAGAGGTGAGAAGGAAAGCAGAATTCTAAGATGGCCCCCAGGAATATCTATCACCCCCTGTTGTACATACCTTATAAAATTCCTTTCCTTTAAATGTGGGTGGAACCTACCGAGACCAGCTTTGTCAGGGAGACCCTAACCCAGCAGCGCTAGAGGAATTAAAGACACACACACAGAAATATAGAGGTGTGAAGTGGGAAATCAGGGATCTCACAGCCTTCAGAGCTGAGAGCCCTGAATAGAGATTTACTCACATATTTATTAATAGCAAACCAGTCATTAGCATTGTTTCTATAGATATTAAATTAACTAAAAGTATTCCTATGGGAAATGAAGGGATGGGTTGAATTAATTGCAGCCGGAACACGCCCTTAAGACATAGATTGCTCATGCTTTTGTTTGTGGCTTAAGAATGCCTTTAAGTGGTTTTCTGCCCTGGGCAGGCCAGGTGTTCCTTGCCCTCATTCCCGTAAACCCACAACCTTCCAGCTTGGGCGTTAGGGCCATTATGGACATGTTATAGTGCTGCAGAGATTTTATTTATGGCCCAGTTTATAGCCATAAACTGGGCCATAAATTTGGGGCCAGTTTATGGCCAGATTTTGGGGGGCTTGCTCCCAATAGTAACCAGTAAATTTAATGGTATGATCACTACTGTGATTGGGTTATGTTTTGACTGCAATTAGCCTTATGAAAAGGAAATTATTGTAGGTGAGCATGAACTAATTAGGTGAGCCCTTGAAAGGGACTGAACTTTTCTTGAAGAGAGAGATTAAACATGAGAAAGACTCCCTATTACTGACTTTGAAGACGTAGAGGGCCATGTGGCAAGGAACTGAGAGTGGTCACTGGGAGCTGATACTGATCCCTGGCTGATAGCCAGCTTGAAAACATGGACCTCAGTCATACGTGGAAATAAATTCTGTCAACAGGCAGTGAGCTTGGAAGAGGACTCCATATTCAAATGAGAATTATAAGGTCAGCTTGTGACTTCAGTCTTGTGAGATCCTAAGCAGAGAGCCCAGTTGAGCTTTGCCTAGACTTCTGACCTAGAAAACTGAGATAAAAATGGGTGTTGTTTTAAGCTGCAAAGTTTCTACTAATTTGTTATGACAGTGGCTAGAAAATTAATACAATATGCTTTGTTTATTTAAATTTTACATACTGCACCATAAGCACCTTTGACATAAACAGAATGCTTAAAATTGATATACCTTTCACATATTAATTCTTTACTTTTTCTTAGTATAGTCTAAGAATACTTTCCTGTATGGTTTCTTTCTTTGTTTTGTTATTTAAACTCATCTCACCACTTTTTAATAAAATAAATATTTACTTTTTTTTTCTATATTTTTGTTGATGGCTTTCATGAAACTTCGGTTCTTGTCTTCCTAGTTTAAAAGAATTTAAACAAGAGACACACAGCAAAGGAGATACAACATAGAGCAATTTATTGCAAAGGAGAAAGGATACTCTGAAAGTTAGGTGCAGAATCAACAGTACACCCCAAGAGACAATTCAGGGCAGGTTGCTTGTGCGGGTGAGACAGTGTTGAATGTTACTGGGGAAACTCCCTTTATGGGAGTCTTACATGATTATTCATAAGGGGGTGGGAAGATGTGTTACTAGCAAGCATGTTCTGGGTGGTTCCTCCTCAGTTCTGAGTTCCTTCTCATTTAAACTTTTAATCTGCCTCAGTATAATCTCTGTATGTGTGTATGTATGGGCTCTTTTTACTATCCCACTAACTCACTAATTGACCCAACACTATTTTTAGTAATTTTTCCTATTCCACTGGATTAAAAGTTTGCTTTATTATGCACTACATTCTTAATTTATCCAACATAAATGCAGGATAACTTGTTCTATCCTTGAAAGCAGTCCCAGTATGATGTTCTTTAGAGAGGCCAGAGCAAATTTCCCCGTACTCCATTTCAAATACTTCAAATTATATTGCAACCTCTTGAAAAATATCAAATTAGGATTGTATTTCTAACACCAAGAAAAATGATTTAAAATTCTTTTAAAATAGCTTCTTGTCCTAAAAATCTCACCATAATTTCCTCATCACTATGCTGCTTTCTCTTTCGTTCCATATTGGTGTCATGACAATCAAGTATATTTCAAAAAACTTGTTTCCGGACCCCTTACATCCCACTGAGTTCCATTCCTCATTAGCTACAGCCCATTACCCTACAAATTTGGATAGACTCCAGAAGAGTAGAGTGGGCCCTTATGTACCTTGAAGAAGTGAAGAATATAACCTGTAACATTGAAGGCTTCTTAGAAATATGTTTGTCTCCCATCCCAAAATTTTCTCAAAGGGTTTGCGACTTCCTAGAAATGTAATACAGTGGTCCTCCCTTATCGATGGTTTCACTTTCCACAGTTTCAGTTACTGGTGGTCAATCAATCACAGTGTGAAAATATAGGTGTTTAGTACAATAAGATATTTTGAGAAGAGGGGAGAGAGAAAGAGACAGAGAAAGAGAGAGACAGATCTCATTTACATAACTTTTATTACAGTATATTGTTATAATTGTTCTATTTTATTATTAGTTATTGTTGTTAACCTATGACTGCACAATTTGTAAATTAAACTATATCATATGTTTGTATGTGTAGAAAAACATAGCATATACAGAGTTTGGTACATGCCTTCAGGCATCCTTTGGGGTGCCTTGCAACATATCTCCCATGGATAAGAGGGGGCTATTGTAAACAAAATTTTCAATTTCATTAATTGTGGCATAAATTAGGTTCTGTTTATGTGCAGCCAATATCATTCCACAGTTGTCCTTTTTTTGGGGCACTATGAACATGTTTTAATTGTTTAGCTTTATAATCATTTGTAAACATCTATTAGAGTACCTCTCCTTATTTTTATCAATAGTTGTTTTTGTATACCGCTCTTGAAAGTTAGAAACATTTTGTTAATAAAACTGTCTTATTACTATTTAGATTAAAGCATCACCAAGTCCATGTATTTTGTCTGGAAAAGTGACACAAATTGCCCTGTCCAAGAAAGTGGTATCATTGTTTACTAAACTTCTTTCTGTCCTTAAGTAAATTTCTATTCTTTTCTGTGAATTGCACACATGACTGCTTTGATATTTTGTATATTTATGGCTCTTTTCAATAATTTTTTTTCTGGAATGGATTCATTGACCTAATCTGCCAGAGAGAATTAATGAGGCCCCACATCTTCTCATTAGTTGGAGAGGAAAGTATTTAATGGTTTAACTTGAACGTGACTTTTGTGAATCTTTTTTTTTTTTTTTTTTAAAGCAGAATCCTGTATTTGGTTACATTGTGGTCTAGTGACCACTTCCTTCAGGTAAAGCAAGCTTCCCTGTCTGGAACAGCCAGGCATGTGATAAAAAATTTCCTTTGTGGTCACTTAGTTATTATTCCTCTTGTCTTGAGTGTCTGGGCTGCTATTTTCATGTATTTACATCCAAATGAAGTCTTTCTTTCCAACTTTTTATAGTATGTTTTGATTCACAAAATATTTTAGCCTTATCTACAATATAATAATTTCCCACAAATGCAAAGAATATAGGTTTGTACAGTTTTGAAGTAATATTGGCAAAAGAGTATGAAGCAGAGTGCCCATATTTAAATATAACTTTCAACATGTTAGTCTTTCTATAGGTGTTTTCAGGATAATAAAAATTAATTTGATTGATATAGACTTGGGGGCAATATATGAGAAACAGGCTCTGCTCTAAAGGATAGGATGAGAGGTGGGCAGGGAGGATTTGTATGGTTTGAATTCCAGGCACACACGCTAACTGCTAATTTGGCATCATCCACCAGGTTGAATATTTTCATGAAATTCTGTCTTACATCTCTGCTAATCCTAAAACAAAGAATGAGGATCATTTCAGGTGAGTCTAAGTCAGGAGAAACTATTAAAATTGTTATATTCTTCATTTAATTTTTTTCTATGATTATTTTTTCTTCTTTTTATACTAATTAGAATAGGCCAAACTGCTGCAACAAATAGACTAAAATGTGTATTGTGGCTGAAATATAGTAGAAGTTTATAACTCACTAATGTAGCAGAAGGAGGATATTGAAGATTTGTGAGTCACTTTTCTCCAGGTGGTGATTCAGAATTCCAAGCTCCCATAGTCCAATATGGTGCCTTTCATTTTTTTTCCTGAGAAAATTAACACATTTTAATTTTTCCTCAAGAAGGGAGGTACAAGAGTGATCAATTGTGATCTAGAAGATTAAGGCAAGAAAGTTAGTGAAATTTGCTACAGTGTCTACTATTATAGTTGTCATTATGACTGTAACTAATATTTGTTTCCCTCCTTCACAAGCCATTCTTGATTCCCCTCATCCTCTGAATTTAGTCTAGTTTGTTTTTCTGTTTTGGTGACAGAGACAACTATTCCAGAAGGGTCTATGTTACTATTTACTCTGTTCTTGAATTATGATTGTTTTAGTGTCTACTGACAGACATGACCATGCATAGAAGCACTAAAAGACTATTGTATTTTCATCTGGGATAGTAGTCTCTGTCACTAAACCAGAAGAACAACCTAGTTTTTAGACCTGTTCAAGCTTGGTTCCAAAGGAACCACTTCTGCTGCAGATGGATTGTGGTTGGTATCCCCAAACTTACGACTCCATGGATTTATAGCTCTTCGCATCATATGGACAATTTAAGGCACATGGTCAGTGTGCTAAGTGCCTATCAGGAAGAAATGAACACTTGGTCATAGTTTTAGAACTATGAAAGGAAATTAAATCTTGGGACTCCAACTCATTAAGCCTAAGGGAAAAGTTAATCTGGGAACGGGGTTGCGAAAACCCGCCTCCCCCTTTTTGGTTCCTAAATAAGATGGCTACAAAATGAAAAGCTACATGCCTCCCTCATATTTTGTCCACAAGGAAAGTCCTTGTGAGCTGCAAGATCTTTACTCTAAGGTGTTTCTGTTAAAATTTTACCATGGCAATGTAAATTGGTAGCTTATCTTTACAGGTGTAGTCACGCCCCTGCCCAGAAGACACAAATGCATATCTTTTTTTTTTTTCTTTTTTTTTTTTTGAGACGGAGTCTCGCTTTGTCATGCTGGCTGGAGTGCAGTGGCGCGATCTTGGCTCACTGCAACCTCCACCTCCCGGGTTCAAGTGATTCTCCTGCCTCAGCCTCCCAAGTAGCTGAGATTACAGGCATCTGCCACCATGCCTGGCTAATTTTTTTTTTTTGTACTTTTAGTAGAGACAGGGTTTCACCATGTTGGCCAGGCCTGTTTCAAACTCCTGACCCCAAGTGATCTGCCTGCCTCAGCATCCCCAAATGCTAGGATTACAGGCATGAGCCACCGCGCCCGGCCACAAACGCATATCTAATTGTTCCCCTTCCCCCGTTTTGTCTATGTCATCTTATGTAAAAAAAATGCAGATTAACTGAGCCAGACAAAGGCATGAATGACTATTTTTCCTTACCCTCCTCTTACATGAAAATTGTGTACTTCTCAATATCCCTACCCTTTCCCCTTAAATTTAGAGCCCTCAAAATTATCTTCGGAGAAAGGTATAGACCTGTCTCCTGGGTGCTTATTCTTAACTTTGGCAAATAAACCTCCTAAAATGATTGAGACTTGCCATTTTTCTCGATTGACAGAACACATGAGTTCATGCAAAGTTACTGTTGGAGAAGTTTTCCTGTGGTTGTTTTTTGGAACATGTAATATGAATGAAGTGATCAAGAGTTTGAGCTGTGACTTACACTTTAGGCTATAATAGAGTAATTGGTGCGGTTAAGACTTCATCTCTCCTGGGCAGCTTTCTTGAGCTTTAGGAGACTGACTCACAATGGAGCTGAGGCTTCTTCTGTCCCTTGCTACTGATCTGTAAGTAATAAAACTGCTTCACATAATTTGTGTGTGAGTGTGTTCTGTTTCACCAGACTCAGATAAACAGGTAGCCAGTGCATGGTGGACATAAACAGTAGCTCAGAATGCAGTGGGAAGAAGTATCTGGACCTCTTTTCCTGGTGGTTGGCATAGTGATGATCTTTTCTATTCTCCATGCAGTGGAAGTCCTCCCTTTCCTCCCTTGGTATTGGTAATTAGTAAACCTGCTTCATAAACTGTGATTAATATACTAAAATCTCTAATGGAAAAGGTAGACAACATGCAAGATTAGACAGTTTCAGCAGAGATATGAAAGCTTTAAGGATGAATGAAATGGAAATAAAATAAAAATAAATTAACAAAAATAAAGAATGCATTTGACAAGCTCATCAGCAAATGTGGTACAGCCCTGGGAAGAATCAGTGAGTTTGAAATAGATCAATAAAAATTACCCAGAGTGAAACACAAAGAGAGAAAGAGAGTAAAAGTACATTAAAAAAATAAGCCTGGCACAATGTTTCACATCTGTAATCTCAGCACTTTGGGAGGCTGAGGTGGGAGGAATGCTTGAACCTAAAGAGCAGCCTGGGCAACATAAGGAGACCTTGTCTACAAAGAGAGAAAAATTAAGTGGGCAAGCATGGTGCTGGTATTCCCAGCTACTCAAGAGGCTAAGACGGGAGGACTGCCTGAGTTGGGGGCGAGGGTGGGGGATGAAGTGAGCTGTGATCGCACCACTGCATTCCAGCCTGGGCAACAGAGTGACACCCTGTCTCAAAACAAACAAACAAACAAACAAACAAACAAACAAAGGTGATGTAACCATTCAATACAGCACTGCAGCTCTTGGATGATCTGTTTTGTTTTTCCCCTGCTCTTCTTTTCTCTTTGTATTTCACATTGGGTAATTTTTATTAGGTATCTTATTGAATTAGTTTGTTAAAAGATAAACACATTATTTCGGTTGGCTTTGCTTTTTTAACATTATATTTTGAAATAATTGTAGATTCAAAGGGAGTTACCAAGATAGAACAAAAAGATTCTGTATAGCCTTCATCCAGTTTTCCCCAATTGTAACATCTTACATAACTAAAGTGCAATATCAAAACCAGGAAATTATCCTGACATATATAGTCAAACGATTTTCAACAGGAGTGCCAGGGCCATTAAATGCGGAAAGGACAGCCTTTTCAACAATGGTGCTGGGAAAACTGGAAGTCCACATACAAAAGAATGAAACTGGACTCTTACCCTACATTATAGACAAAATGAACTCAAAATGAATCAAAGACCTAAATGTGAAAACTAAAACCATAAAACTCTTAGAAAAAAAATAGGGAAAATCTTCATGATATTTGATTAGGCAATGATTTCTTGGATATAACACCGAGGGCATAGGCAAGAAATGAAAAAAAAATATATAAATTGGACTCCATCAAAATTTACAACTTCTAATTGAGGCATGGAAAACTAAATACCATATGTTTTGATTTGTAAGTAGGAGCTAAGTGGGTACTAAGCTATGGGTACTCAAAGGCATACAGAATGGTATAAAGGACAATGGAGAGTAAGAAATTGGGGAGGATGGGAAGGAGGGTGAAGGATAAAAAACTACATATTGAGTACAATGCACACTACTCAGGTAACAGGTTCACTAAAATTCCAGGCTTCACCACTATACAATTCATCCATATAACAAAAAACCACTTGTAACCTAAAAGCTATTGAATTAAAATTATATTAAAAATTAAAAAAAATTATTATTGAGCATCTACTATGTGTTCAAAACTATTTTAGATGCTATATATTTGCCACTTCATTTAATCCTTGGCATTACTCTATGGAATAGATAATATTCTCATTTTGCAGTTAAAGAAACTCATACTCAGAGAGATTAACTTGGATTTATGAGCAATGTTGACATTATAAAGTAGAGGCAGGAAGACCAGTTAGGATGCTTTTGCAGAAATTAACTTGAGTGGAATTGTCGGTCTGTGAGAATAGAAAATGAATCTTTTGGGAAGATTCTACAATGTTATTGTTTTTGCATAAGTGACTTTTTCCTCTACTCCCTCTTTTCACATGTAAAATGTAGATTTACTGAGGCTAATCAGACTCACAAGAATGTAACCACTTGTGTCATTGCCTACCTTCCCTCCTTTTTTTTTTTTTTTCCTCTCTCTTTCCCTTCCTGCTTACTCTTTCTTTTTAAACATTGAAGTTCTCAAAACCCTCTTTGGAATAAGCATTGATCACAGATGCTCCTGTGATTCGTGTTTTTCCCAGGTGCATCCTGAACCTTGGCAAAATAAACCTCTAATTGATTGAGACCTGCCTCAGTCACTTTTCGGCTTACACCAGGATTTCTTTCTTTTTAAAGCCTGAATAGAATTCCATTGTGTATACATACATTATCTTTACCCATTCATCTGCTGAATGACACAGGTTGATTTCATACCTTGACTATTGTGCATAATGCTGCAATGAACATGGGAGTGTGGATATATTTTCAACCTACTGATTTAAAATCCTTTGTCTGTATCCTGGAAGTGGGATTGCTACATCATATGGCAGTTCTATTTTAACTTTTTGAAGAACCTTCATAATGTTTTCCCTAGTGGCCATACTAATTTACATTCCCACCAACAGTGTGCAAATGTTCCCTTATCTCCACGTCCTTGTTAACACTTGTTATTTTTTGTCTTTTTGATAATAGTCATCCTGAAAAGCATGGATTGATATGTCATTGAGGTTTAAATTGAATATCTTAAGTTTTCCTATTTGAGGATATGAGTAGTCCCCCCAAAATATTACTGCTAATGTTGCTTTTTTGCATGAACCATGACCTTGAGCTGAGCTGGACACTTGAATTCTTGAGTACTTGGACATGAGCTTAAATAGGACTGAAATATTTTTTACATACCTGAATATTAGTTCTTCTCTCTACTGGTAAGAACTTGTAGAAGAAGACATTATAAAGATCTCATAGAGAGATATTTAAGGTTTGTCTGGGAATGAAGGCACATGATGACTACAAATCTAGAAGCTGGGGAAGAGTTGTCTCTGGAAATATCCCAGGCATTACTAGGGAACCAGAAGTAGAGACGAACAGATATGTTGCAAAGAGTGACATGTGTAGGTTAGCTCTGGGTGATGAAATCGTCAGTGGTCCAGCTGAGGTGATGCATGGATGAGATTGACTGGAAGAAGAAACCTGTAGAAACAGATCAGGAAACAAAGCTCCGTTGTACACACGTCCATAGCAGGCAGCCTGGGTTTTCGTCCCAGTCTTCTTCTGTTTTCAAGGGCCATTTCCATACTGCATGAGAAGCCATGAGACTGGTGGGCTCTGGACTCCTGTGCCAGAGATCACTCACCTTCCCCATTTCCCCCAAGTGTCCCAAATGCCTTGTATCATCTGATTTTCTATCTTCCTGCTAAAGCTTTTCCCATACTCCTAGTCCTTCACCCTGCGGTATCCTCCAAGTCCTTACCTGACTTCCACTATGGAGTCTCCCCATGGTTACTTGCTTGAAGGAGGCACTGTTTGAGCACAGCCTCTGAATGCTACAGACTCTCTCTTCAGACTTTCTAAATTGTCATTTTAAAGAGATAACTGTTTAAAGAGAAAAGGCCTACCTTATATGTGTCATGAAAAATTCATGTAACCGGTTACCTAAAAGTTGATATAAGAGAAATATGTAAGTAGCTTCACAAGGTTTTGAAAAATTTGGAGATAATTACTTGATAAATTTTTATTAAAGGAAAATGATATTCTGGGGCCGTATTTCTAATTATGTTACCACCGGCATTAAGGAGGCCACAGAACCTTTCTGACTCTACAGTGTTTCTTGATTCTGGAAGTAATTGCAGGACAGAGTCCTGGATAACCCTTCTGGTGACAGGATGACTCCTGTGTTTACATTCAACTGCACTGACCAGGCACAGATTCTAAGAGATGCTGACCAGGGAAGATGATTTCTCCCTTGATTCCACAAAGAAGGAGTCCACAACCTTTTTCTGCCCTGAAAGAAGAGACAATGTGCCCTGGGGAGAGTCTCCCTAGTGTAACCTTGACCCATAATAACAGCAGTGTCTTTATCCCATCTTCCCACATGGGGTGCGTGTGGTCTCATCCTAAGCGCTCTGTCCCCACAGAGGCCGGGTGGGTGATTTGGGCGAGGCATTCAGAATCAGGATGCTTGTCTGAGTTGCCTTCCTCTGGCCAGGCCAATAGTGGCTGCCCTGAGTAATGGAGCAGGGATAGGAACATTGCAAAGAACTGTAGAGAAGGCTGGATCAGGGGGACACAACTGGCAGAAGCCCCAAACCAAAGCCTTTTAGATTAGGTGTTTTTTTTTTTTGTTTTGTTTTGTTTTGAGACAGAGTTTTGCTCTTGTCCCCCAGGCTGGAGTGCAATGGAGTGCAGTGGTGCGAACTCAGCTCACTGCAACCTCTGCCTCCTGGGTTCAAGCGATTCGCCTGCCTCAGCCTACTGAGTAATTGAGATTACAGGCATGCACCACCACACTTGGCTAATTTTTTTTATTTTTGGTAGAGACGGGTTTCACCATGTTGGCCAGGCTGGTCTCAAATTCCTGACCTCAAGTGATCTGCCTGCCTTGGCCTCCCGAAGCGCTAGAAAATTACAGGGGTGAGCCACTGCACCTGGCCTCAGATGAGGTTTTAGCCAGTCAGAAAATGGCTCTAAGCTGACACTTTCGTTGCTAGTTGAAAAGTCTGTGTGGCCAGGTGTGGTGGCTCACACCTATAATCCCAGTGCTTTGGGAGGCCGAGGTGGGAGGATTGCTTGAGGCCAGGACATTGAAACCAACCTGGGCAACATAGCAAAATCCTATTTCTATAAAAAATTTTTAAAAAATTAGACAGAATGGCGGTGTGTGCCTGTACTCCCAGCTACTTGGGAGGCTCAGACAGGAGGATCACTTGAGCCTAAGAGGTTGAGGCTGCAGTGTGCCATGATCATGCCAGTGTACTCCAGCCTAGGTGATAGAGCCAGACCCTGTCCCTAAAAAAGAAAAGAAAAGAAAAAAGGAAAATAAAAAAAAAAGGAAAAGAAAAGAAAAAAGTCTGTTTGAAGAGGCCCATGAGACTGGGGAGTCCCTAGGTTTGACGTAGACTTTGCCTCACAGCCCCAGAATAAACCTGAGGGAAGCTTCTCCCTTTGAACAGGAAGAAGGGGTGGGCCAGAGGCCTCTATTCTGAGGGACGCTGAGGTGGGGACTGAGAGGACATTGAGGGCATCTTCAGGTCCCTCTCTGCCTATTCTTTCTTGCCCCCAGTTCCGTTCTAGGTCTGAGTTTGATGTTCCTCCTTTATGCTTCCATCGCACCAGTGGAGACCCTCCTTAGACTGGGGGTTACCCTGATCCTGAGTACACCACTGCTGCTAGAAGCCCAGTAACAACGTTCCCAGTCTCAGGTGATCTAAATCTATGCACAGAATAATACAGAATATTAGAGTGGCTCAATGCTTTCATGTGCCACTATTGCAAACCTCTTGCTACCGTCTCTTCCCTGTTTCTTTTTACCTGGTAAACATATTCTGCTTTTAGATGCTCTCTATCTTCTACTTTACTAATATACAGGGAAGAGTGGGAGGAAGGGAGACAAGAAGAGAGGTGGAGATATTTATTGTCTTGGTTAGGATTACCAGTAATGTTTGTCAGGCATTGTTTTAATTGCTTTATAACCATTAGTACTATCCCTAGCCATGGGCAACGTAAGCCTGATAAGTAAGAAATTTATTTATAAAAACACATTGGTACCTCTGCCATTTTGGATTTGATGTTTAGGGCTGGCCCAATATGACCTGTAACTCTAAACATTTGCTCCATCATTAATACGATTCAGCCCCCAGGAAATTCTTCTTCACAGCTTTTGCTCTCTATCTTCAAAACTAAATGTGACTGTGTCTGAATACTGTAAAATTTGTGTATTGTGCCTTTGCTCATATCAGATGCACCTGTTTCATGGTTCAGGGAGGATTTAAGCAGCTGAAGAACTTACAAGAGAAAAGTCAACAAATACTTTCACTCGAAGAGCATGAATGCAATACCTTCTTGCATAATAAAGAATCACTTGCCAGTAGGGCTGGGTGTCAACTTTTTTTTTTCTTGTTCCTCCTATTAGCCTGATAGTTACACATAACAGTGGAGGAGGCTTTTGTAATATTAAACTAGTCATATTAATGTTAAATTTTTATATGTGAAGATCTAGATGTAAAATGCATAAAACATGATCCACATTTTGCAAAGAGAAGCCTGGGGGTGAAAAGGAGTTCAGTAATTTGTTGACTCTCATAAAGCACATTAGTGGTAGAACTGCAACTCACCATCATTTCCTTCTAAGAACTTTGCTCTTCTCACCAAAACTTAAGGCTCTTCAGAGTGTCTAATAGAAGTGAACATTTCTGTGACAATTTTCTGTTCCCTGAAATATGATCCTCACTTAATTTGCCCTACTAAAAATCCCAAGTGTAAGAACAATAGGTTGTAAGATGTCTACTCTTGAATCACATTTGTCTTTTGCTTCTTAAAACCCCTAAGCCATTCAATCTTCAGCTATTCAGAAATCTTCACCTCAAATGTTCATCTAGTGCAATTTGAAGAAGAAACAGTGCCAGGCATTGGAGTGAGAATCTTCACAGAAAAACGTCTGCCCAGAGGCAGATGAGGTCCTTCAGCTCCAGTGCTGATTGGTTCCTTTCCTAGGGACTCCCCAATCCTACCACACATGGAAACATCCAGAGGTTTTTATTCTTTCCGGCAGGTACATAAGTTCCATTAGGTTTGAGCTGTGTTGACTACCACTGCTTTTTCCTTGGTCTCACTTACGTCTTGGAAGATGGCTCTGCAGATCCCTGGAGGCTTTTGGGCAGCAGCTGTGACCGTGATGCTGGTGATGCTGAGCACCCCAGTGGCTGAGGCCAGAGACTTTCCCAGTAAGTGCAGGGCAGCTGCTCTCGAGAGCCACCACTGTGGGAACAGGCTCTCCTTGGGTTGGAGTATGGGGGATGGTGATCTCCATGATCTCAGAACACAGTCTTTTATCACCATTTATTCTTTTTGGGAAATAGAGCTATGTTGCATTTTTATTTCCACCTTATAATGGGTGAGGTGAGGATAATCCAACCCCAATCCCACAGGTTTAAGCCTGAAGGAGGAGAGAGGAAAGAGGAGACAAAGTGTGCATTCACTACCTGTGACAGGACAAAATGACCATGGCACTCCACGGTTATGCATTTCCCCAAAGATATACATTTCCCCAAAGACACAGTAGGATTTTTCTGCACTGGGAAAATGTAAGGCAGCAATGGTGTCTGTAGTCTCTGTATTGGAGGTAAAGGAGTCTATACTACTGACTCGAGTGGAGAGTTTGTGGAGGCAAACTCTTAGTACTGAGGGAAGGTGACTGGATGACCACAGACAGGGAGTCTTACTTTGGGTTTCACTGATTTATGGGCAAAAGGTGACTTGAGTGGGATTCAGGGACCTGAGTTGATGGTGGACTGAATTTAGTATGATAGGAAGGAGGAAGTAAAGAAGGGAAATAATACATATTGAGAAACCACTCCATTCAGACACAGGACAGTACTTTCTATAAATCCTCTCTCACTCCTCCTAACATCCTATGTGTAGGTATCATGATTTTCCTTTTATGTAATTATACTTGTGATATGGATATTCTGTTAAGTAACCTGCCCAAGCTGGTGATTGACTCAGTTTAATTGGACCCTATAGAATTCAAAAGCTTGGGCTCTTTCCATGAATAAATGTTTCCTTCTAGGACTCCGGAGGTGTAGGTCCTTTCTAACACAGAAGTGAGTGAACCTCACAGGGCACTTGGGCGGGTATAGCAGAAAGAGAGTAAATCCAGGCATGGGTT
This sequence comes from Homo sapiens, assembly GCF_000001405.40. Taxonomy (NCBI): domain Eukaryota; kingdom Metazoa; phylum Chordata; class Mammalia; order Primates; family Hominidae; genus Homo; species Homo sapiens. Next base: position 4,176,003 of record NT_113891.3, on the reverse strand, counting down.
TACTTGGTCTCTTGCCCAGGGACCAAGAGAATACTTACATCAGGATGAGAACAAGCTTAATTCCTGAACCTTTCTCGTTATTCCCTTGAACTCTCAAATTTATGTGGATAACTCTGTCTCCGAGATTCCCAAGAGCTCCATGGAAAATGGGATTTCATACGAGAACGCCCTGATCTAAGAGCAGAGGTCAATGTTGAATCGGTCCGACTGCCCTCTTCACTTGGTTCACAGGCTCAGGCAGGGACTGGGCTTTCCCTCTTACCTCCCTAAAGGAAGGCAGATTCCCGAGGCCCTCAGAGAGGGCGGGCAGGGCTGGGGCAGAGATGCCTCGAGGATCCCAGGTCCGGAGCACGAGGCACGGGCCCAGCCAAGAACTCAATTTCGCGTGGACGGGTTTCGCAGCTGCTGGCCGGGTCAGGGCAGCGGCTGAAGGGTGCGGTCCGGCTGGGGGCTGGGGCTAGGGCCGTGCTGGGGCCTGACTGACCCGCCGTGATTCTCCGCAGAGGATTTCTTGGTCCAGTTTAAGGGCATGTGCTACTTCACCAACGGGACAGAGCGCGTGCGCGGTGTGGCCAGATACATCTATAACCGCGAGGAGTACGGGCGCTTCGACAGCGACGTTGGGGAGTTCCAGGCGGTGACCGAGCTGGGGCGGAGCATCGAGGACTGGAACAACTATAAGGACTTCTTGGAGCAGGAGCGGGCCGCGGTGGACAAGGTGTGCAGACACAACTACGAGGCGGAGCTGCGCACGACCTTGCAGCGGCAAGGTGAGCGTCGTCGTCCTTCCGCGGGGCTCACCCTTGGCCGGGGCCCGAGTCTCTTGCGCACAGAGGGGCGAGGACGGCGCGGCCTCAAGGACCGAGCCCTGATCCATCCCAGGGTACAGGAAGGTGGCGGGGATTTGGAGGCTGGGGTAGTATCGGAGGGGCGGGGATCTAGGGCAGAGCAGGGGGATGCACAAAAGCATCCCTTAGTTCCCTGCAGGGTTGGGTTAGGCTGCCCAGTGTGTCCCCAGCCTCCCCGTCCATCGGCCTTGTCCTCTGCTCTGCATGTTCTTGCCTTGTGCCTTATGCGTTTGCCTCCTCGTGCCTTACCTTCGCTAAGCAGTTCTTTCTGCCCGAATGCCCGCCCTCTTCCCCTGCCCGTCCGCCCCACTAGCACTGCCCCACCCAGCAAGGCCCACTTGCACAGCTCGCGCCGCAGGAAGCTTCAGGCTTGGCCTGGTGGAGTTAGGGCTGCTCCACAACTGCGCGCAGGGCATCCAGCAATTACAGTTGTGAAATAAGATATTTTAACTTTTGGCTTCAAATTATTATTCATCGTAATTCTGTTTTCTTAAACGGCTCTCATTCATGGCGGAGCTCTTTGAGGTGAGAGTGTTTTAATCATTGCATGCCTAGTACCTGACTCGTGGACCGGCATGTGGTATGAGCTCAATGATCTTCTGTTAAATTAATGAATAAATGTACTCAGCTGCGCATCCACTTAGGCTCAAGGGAAAGCAGAGGATAAATAGAGCCTTAAAGATGGACTTTATCAATTATTTTCTATTATTTTGCTTAATGCTGTAAACTCTTATTGACTTGGATCTTAGTAAGGTTTGTGAATGCAGTCTGGGGAAAAAGGTGTTTGCTGAAAATAAAAACAACGCTTGAATGGTGTTATAAGGCAGTTTTAATTTCTTAGAAAAGCTGAACAAATGGCACAATGAAAAGAGCAGAAGCTTTGGAATACATAGATTGAAGCCACTAAATTATTGAATAAAAATAGTTTCAGGTTGCTTTTGGAGTAGATTTTCTCCCTCCCCCCATCACTATCCACTTCAGGCATAAACATTCTGAACGTCAATTTTACCCACTTAGTGAGCACTTATTTCTAGACAATTGCCTTAGCAAACACCATCTAAGTTATGTCATTTAATAGCACAGTTACCTGTGCATTAGAGATTAGCATTGCCACTTTATATATCGTAATATTGGTACATGATAAACACTTTAAGTAATCAACCCACAGTTATGCACCAGGACCTGAAGCCTCCCCCAAATACACAGCATTCTTTTATGTTCTTCAATACTCGTCTACACAGCCTAAGGGAAGTAAAGCCTTGTTAAAGCCAATTTTGACAAGAAGCAGCAATGGGTCTATTCCTGCCTGTTTTCACTGTTAATGGGACAAAATGATACTTTCAAGGCATTGAAAATTCACTGATTAATCAATCCCTAGTCTGACCCCAGTGTTATCTATGCAGGTTCACAAAACTTCCTTGCCTTCTTCTGACCCACATCCTAATGCTGTCAATTATTTATATTTTTGCCATTTCAAGTCTATTTCTATAAAAGTTATTCTATCATTTTTTTCTCATGAATTTGTGCCCTCTATTTTTACTTTCAGTCTTTTTAAGATGAACAAATCTTGTAAGTCCCCACATAGCTGACTGTTATTTCAGTCAGACTCCAGGAAGGAGGGCCTAAAGAAAAGTTCAAGTCCAAGCAGAAACCAAGATTCCTTCCAGACAATGGCTCATGAGTGCCATTTAATTGGGGTGCTACCTGCTGACCTCAGCAAATCCCAGCTATATGTATATGTTTGCATTACAGGCACATTCACCCAGGCCAACCTCTGCATGGATCTCAGAATATTTCCTATGGAGAACGTACATGATAATGTCTGATTTCAGAACAAGAAAGTAATTCTCAATAGCAAGGGGATGGAGTAGGGTAGGCAGCTAGTAATTACACTATCTTGAGGGTTAAAAGGAAATTAAGAAAAAGCAGGAAAATGAGAGAACATATTACCAAGTAAATAAAGCATACATTAAATATTTACTATAATTTTACACTAAAGAAATAAAGGAAATGCAGTAAAATGGCCAGAGAGGTAAAGGTTAAGATGTATAAAATATGCAGGGAAAGGTGTGTCATTTTTGACCATGAGCAGCGCTCTGAGAAGATAAAGGAATTGAGTTATGGGCAAACATGATGTTTGATCAGTGTTAGTTTTTTTCAAGGCCTGCCTACTTTTCCTTCAAATATTACAAACTTTTGAAATAACATTCAATTTTTTGGTCTCTGTTACTAGATTGCAAGTTCTATAAAGGCAGGAACCAGGGTTTGTTGTTTATTTTTGGATTCTCAGTGATTGTCAAATTTATATTTGTTGAAGGAACCTTAATCCAAGACTTGGACTCCAGGTATCTTTCTATTCTGGTTCCAAGGAGGGACCTTCCTCACAGCAGGCGTGCTGTGTGGTCTCACATCTCACTCCTATATCTTTCCCTGTCTGTTACTGCCCTCAGTGGAGCCCACAGTGACCATCTCCCCATCCAGGACAGAGGCCCTCAACCACCACAACCTGCTGGTCTGCTCAGTGACAGATTTCTATCCAGCCCAGATCAAAGTCCGGTGGTTTCGGAATGACCAGGAGGAGACAGCCGGTGTTGTGTCCACCTCCCTCATTAGGAATGGTGACTGGACCTTCCAGATTCTGGTGATGCTGGAAATAACTCCCCAGCGTGGAGACATCTACACCTGCCAAGTGGAGCACCCCAGCCTCCAGAGCCCCATCACCGTGGAGTGGCGTAAGGGGAAACTGGTTTCCTTTTACTGTGGGCCCCACAAGACAAAGGGCAGAGCTCCCGCTGATCCTTCCCATCCCATCTCTTGTCCCTGACATCACTACTGAGCTGGGAATCACAGGAGACTAGAGCACCTGTTGCCCCATGGCAAGCACATCAGATGAATCCTGATCTCTTTGTCTTTCCAGATACCAGGGAGATCACTTTCCACATTTGTGTTAGTCCATTCTTGTACTGCTACAAAGAAATCTCTGAGACTGAGTAATTTATAAAGAAAAGAGGTTTAATTGGCTCTTCTCACTCCACTATAAAGAAATACCTGAGAATGGGTAATTTATAAAGAGAAGAGGTTTAACTGGCTTATGATTCTGAGGCTGCAGGGGAAGCATAGTGGCTTCTGCTTATGGGGAGACATATGGAAGCTCCTAATCATGGCAGAAGGAAAAGAGGGAGTGAGGTGTCTCACAGGGCAGGGGCAGGAGCATGAGAGAGAGGGGGTTGGTGCTACGCAGTTTTACATAACCAGATCTCATGAGAACTCACTATTGTAATGACAGTACTAAGGGAGATGGTGACAAGAATCTGGTCTAATGATCCAGTCACCTCCCACCAGGCTCTACCTCCAACATTGTTAATTACAATTGAACATGAAATTTGGGTGGGGCCACAGAATCAAACCATATCAACACTACTAAAGCCCCAGAACCAGCTCTGACAGCTATGAGAGACTGACTTAGGGCTGGTGACTGGGGCCTTAGGGTTTAAGGTTATGGATGAAGTCCTGAGGGGCAGGGGTGCGCTTCTTCCTCTCCCTCACCCACCTATTGTGTCCAAAGACCTACTGGCTGGTCTTTCTCTTCCCTAGGGTGGTCAGACTGGAGAACTAGTGTCCCCTGACATCTCCACCTCCTGTACCAAGGACATTATGGGGTGTGGGGACAAACACTCACACTCAGTTCTGCTCCTTAGGGGCTCAGTCTGAATCTGCCCAGAGCAAGATGCTGAGTGGCATTGGAGGCTTCGTGCTGGGGCTGATCTTCCTCGGGCTGGGCCTTATCATCCGTCACAGGGGTCAGAAAGGTGAGGAACCCAAGGGGGAAATGGGGAAGATGAGCTGTGACCCAGACCCTCTATTCAGAGAGGTTCTGTCTCTAGATGTAGCTCTTTCCTCCTTACCCTGAGAGGAAGTGCGAGGAGACAGGACAAGATTGGAGGAGGCATTGGAATCTGATTTTACTGGGTGAATGGTAGCGCTGCCAGAGCTGACTGATAGAGCTTATTCCAGGGCGTCCTTACCGTTCATCATCGTCTCACTGGCTCCTTTCTAAAAGCTTCCTCCATTATGAGGGTCAGAGCCTTGGCCTCCTTGTCTTCTAGTGACAATTTCCTTTGTTTTGGGGGATTTTAACTTAGGGTGCTTAAGGACTTAAAGAACATGGGAGGGAAGAGGATATAACCCCAATTAAACTACATGTGTCATTTTCCTTTGGGGTAAGATAGTGGTTGTTTGTTTAACAAGACCTTTCTCTGTATAACTTCCTTTTGTAGGACCTCGAGGGCCTCCACCAGCAGGTAATATTTCAGCCATGATCCAGTCAGGGGAGAGGGCACAGGCATAAGAGGGAAGAGCCATGGTGAAACCGCATCTCTACTAAAAATACAAAAATTAGCTGGACGTGGTGGTGTGCATCTGTAATCCCGGCTACTTGGGAGGTTGAGGCAAGAGAATCACTTGAACCCAGGAGGCAGAGGTTGCAGTGAGCCAAGATGGCGCCACTGCACTCCAGTCTGGGCGATAGAGCTAGAGTCTGTCTCAAAAAAAAAAAAAGAAGAGCATGAGCGGAGTGTTCCAGGGCACAGTGGTCTCTGTTCATGGCCTGTTTGCTGCTATGAGGGTTAAGACTTAGGGGAAAAGTTTGCCAGTTTCTACGAATCTCCAGAGATTGTTTCCTAGAACCAGGCCTTAACTTTGGTGGCATCTTTTTGTGAAATGTGGGGACAGAGCCACATCTTGAATGTGAGATAGTAGGGTGATGCCCACTTTGTGCCACATTTTGTTAGCTACTGCCTGTAGGCATTTTCAGTGACTAAAAGAGGCTGCTAGTGGTGGAGATGAAGTGTCACCCAATTTACTAAAAAAATCAAACTCTTCATATTACCCAGAAGGGTAACTGCTGTTCCCCCACCTCCACATATCTGCATCAAGCTGAAGTTCTGTGTCCTCATGAGCTGATTTTACCTTTACACAGATATTGGGGAACGTGATGATGATATGCCCTGGACCTCAGCATCCTCTGTTTGATGCTACAGAGGGAACTGAGGACTAGGGGAGAGGGTGTGTCCCTCAGGGTACCCTGTGCTGATCATGCCTCGTCTCTCTTCTCCAGGACTCCTGCACTGACTCCTGAGGACTTTTGTCTGGGATTGGTCATCACTCTTCTGTAATGCCCACCTGCCCCTGCCCAGAATTCCTAGCTGCCTGTGTCACCCTGTCCCACTGAGGTCAGAGTCCTACAGTGGCTCATGCAGCCACAGGTCACCTTCTGTGATCCCCATCCCAAGGCACTGGTGGTGACTCTGCTTCCTGCACTGACCCAGAGCCTCTGCCTGTGCACTGCAAGCTGTGTCTACTCAGGCCCCAAGGGGCATCTCTGTTTCCATTCTCCCCCCACAGACCTGTCAAGAGAAGCATGACAAACAAAATCATTTACCTGACTTTAGTGCTTTTTCCCATAATTAAACCTGATTCTGAGTTATCTGTATTCGGAACTTCCTTAACTAAGCAGAGGTAGGAAACCACTGCCAAGTGAAGGAACATACCTTGAGGTGACCCAGCCAAACCGTGGCTAGAAAGAGGGTTGTACTTTGAAAAGACACTGAAAGCATCTTGGGGTGCAAAGTAAGGGTAGGCAGAGGAGGTAGAAAATCAATTCAGTCATCACATCATTCATGGTTCTTTAATATTGATGTTCAGTGCAATGGCCTTAGGACATCCCAGCCTCTCTTCTGGTTTGGCGAGTGTTGTCTAAGTAAGCATGGTGGAATTGTTTGGGGACAACTATAGTGACTGATGTTTCAAATATATTCTGGCTGGCAAGTCACATCAATCAAGACTAATTTTTATTTTTAAGAAAGCATAACCAGCAATGAAAGTACTATTTTTGGTTCCAAATGATAGACACCCAACCCAAAGATATTTGATTCATGTTACAAGGAATGTTGGTTTCAGAAGTGACTAGTTCCAGATATTCAATGAGATCTTCATCTCTCTTCTCTTTCTGTTATAGTTTCATCTGTGCATCCTCCTCTCCTCTCCGTGTGTCTCTTTGTCCCTGTGTAGTTCTTTCTGTGTGTCTCTCTCCAGTTTTGTCTTTGTTCCCTTCTTGTGTCTCTTTCAGTGCATTGTTGCCTTTCTCTATGTTTGTAATCCTTTGTCACTATTTATCTGCATTTCTTTCTCTTTTTCTTTTTGCATCTCTTTATTTTCTGCATCTCTCTTATCACCTCACACCTTATCTCATCTCTCTCTTCGTGTGAGTGTGTGTACGTGCGTGTGTGTGTGTCTGTCTTTGTTGTATATGTTTCTGAAGTGTCTACCAGAGTTTTAATAATTTGGGGAAAGATTCTGATTGTCCAAGCCTGGGTAACATGCACACCTCCCAAACACACCATCCTGTGCACAGGATGCTGCCAGCCAGCGTGCTCATCCCTCTTATTAGGAAGGAGGACTGGGTTTTCCAGATCCTTCTGATGCTGGAAATGACTTCCAGTGTGCAGATGTCTACACCAGCCATGTGGAGCACCTCAGCCTCCAGAGCCTCCTCACAGTAGAGTGGTGTAGGGGAAGTTTGTTTCTTGTGGAGGACACAGGTCAAATGGCAGAGCTTCCTCTGGTTCTAGGGTCCCTCAGTGGGGGTACCTGTTCACAGCCATCTCATTCCTTGTCTGAGCTCCCTTTGTCATTGACATCGTAACCTGTTCATTCCTGATGACACCCTCTTCCCGATTATGAGGGATGTTACTACACACTGTGACCCCTTTGATGTGGGCTCAGCCCTGAAGATGGTCTACATGTCAGTCTCTGGGTTTGTCATTAAGTCAGACAAGCTTTTCCAACCCTCAGCCCGCGGGCTGCATGCAGCCTATGACCGTATTTAATGCAGTCCAACACAGATTCTAGAACATTCAGTTCAACATTGTCACACTGAACACATCCTGGTTATGAGAGGATCAAAGTCTTTTTCCCTTTCTTCCACTGACAGTTTCATAGAAACAATTATTTTTTGCACCCAGATTTCATTGGGTAGTATAATCTTTAATTGATAATTAAAGTAACAAGTACATTTTTTATAAATAAGTTTGCTAACAAGAAGAATTGAGTCTTAGTAGGCATATAACTTGGAGGAAAGTATGTGGGTGTTCTAGAGAACAACCTGCCAGTTGTGAGCATTTGTCCTTACCTTAGGAAATATCAGCATATCTTTCAGAGACAATGGTGCTCGTCAATATGCCATAAGGTTCTTTACATCTCCCAGTCTTTTCTGCTGTTAGGTTGGGATCATTTGACTAATACTAGCCAATGGAACTTGCAAGTAGATGCACGATGAGACGATGGAAACTCCATATAACCTGAGTCACTGGAGAAACTGTGGAATTAAGTCTCTTTATTGAGTGACATCACTGAGATTTGTTTTTTACTGTGGGCTAAGATCTTACTGCACATTAACTTTACCCTTCTCAATAATCATGGAATGTTTAACTTCAGAGGAGAGTTCATAAGTTAATAGGGTGAATCAATTGAGTTAATAGAAATTGAGATGATTGAGATGATATTTTTAAACAAAAAAGTTTTTGAAAATAAAGAACAGAAAACTTTATTTGAACAAGAAAAAGTTAAGAATGTTACATTTCAAAAAATTTAAATTATTTTTAATTTACAAATAATTGAGTACTTATAAGGTACAATTGACATTTCGATATATGTATACACTATGAAATGATTAAATCAAGCTAATTAACATATCCATCACTTCACATACTTATTTTTTTATGTGGTGTGAATATTTAAAATCTGTCTTAGCAATTTTCAAATATACAATACAGCTGGCCCTGTATTTGTGGGTTTTGCATCCTCTGATTCAGTCAACCATGGATTGAAAATATTTGGAAAAAATGATAAAATACAACAATACAACATAAAAATAATACAACTTAAAAGACAATACAGTATAACAACTATTTACATAGCATTTACATTGCGTTAAGTATTATAAGTAATCCAAAGATGATTTAAAGTATATGGGAAAACATACTTAGGTGATGTACAAAAACTAAGCCATTTTTAATAAGAGACTTGAGCATTCTTATATTTTGGTATCCAGGAAGGGTCCTAGAACCAATCCCTCATGGATGCCAAGGGACAACTGTATGATATTGTTAACTAGTCACCATGCTGCACAATTGATCTTCAGTACTTATTCCTCCTCTCTAACTGAAACTTATACCTTTTGACCAACATCTCATTCCTTTTTCTCCCTCTCCCCACACCCCACCCCCTCCATGACTTTGACTTTTTAAGATTCTGCATATAAGTTAGGTCATGTCGTATTTGTCTTTCTGTGCCTGGCTTATTTCACTTAGCATACTGTCCAATGGGTTCGTCCATGCTATAAATGACAAGATTTCCTTCTTTTATACGGCTGAATAGTATTCCATTGTGTATATGCACCACATTTTTTTTATCCATTCATCTGCTGATGGATAGTTAGGTTGATTCCATCTCTTGGCCATTGTGAATAGTGCTGCAATAAACACGGGAGTGCAGATATCTCTTTGATACAGATTTCATTTTCTTTGCATATGTACCCAGAAGTGGAACTGCTGGATCATGTGGTAGTTTTATTTTTAATTTTTAAATAGATGCTGAATTTTATCTGTTTGTTTTCTTCCACATGAATGTATATGTACTCCCAGGAACTAGAACAGTGTTTCTGCCGTCAGTGCTGTTCCACTGTACCTAAACTCCTCCCTTTGAGACTGAACGATTTATTCTGTCATTGCTGGGAATGTTGCTGGCTGACTGCCCTCAGCTTTCAGTCACGCCCCGGAATTGCCTTAGGTGATGAAAGCTGCCTCATCGGATTTTGATCCACTTCCCAGGAGGAACTCGCCTATAATGATTGGTCAGTATAGGAGTATAAAACCTGCTCTAATTTGGGCCGACTCTGAGGGGCTCTTGCAGCTTCTGAATAGCTTAGGCCGAAGAATAACAGTCCATTTTTTTTGTAACTGAAATAATAGTCCAATTTCTAAAACCTTGCTCTAATTCATGAGTCATTTTACATACTTTTTCCAGTTGTGATTGTAATTTAAATATATTGATCTTTGTGACTTCTGTAAGTATGGGCAATGCCTCTTCCCCTCCTTCTTGGAAGATGAAGTTATTGGCATTTTCACCCTCCCTTTCCCCTCTCCTTTACACTTCCAGTTGCCAAAATGAAGTATCTACATCTTTTTTTTCCCCCCAATATTGTCAAAGCTGAAAATATTGACATTCTGCTGTAGCAATAAGATTCCTTGGGCTTTGCTCACAGATTAATTCTAAATTTGAAAAAAAAAGTTTATCACTTTCTAAATATCACTTATGTAGTCAGGTATTCTTTGCTTGCCAAGAAACTGCTGTAGTAGGATCCGTTTTCAGTGAGATCCTGGGTTAAACCCAGTTTCCTGGATTCCTTACCTTCCTATATCCTGATTAACAATCTCAATTGGTCATATCCTTAGTCAATTTCTAGTAAAACTCTGCGTGGTAGGTAAATTTTATGTTCTTTCACATTCACAGGTATTTTTATTCTTTCTCCATGCCTGATTGTGACTTTGAAAAGATCTACATTTATTAATAAAAAATAATTTTCCTTTAGAACTTCAAGGACTTTCTCATTATCTTAATAATAGAAGTATTTTTTTTGTTGTCAGTTTGTTTCATTTTGGTTTCCGCCACTGGAATATTTTATGACTTTTCTATAACACCTGAAGTTCTGAAATTTTGAAAATGAGATATTTAGAAGTGAGTCTGTTAATTTTGCTAAATACCTGACAAGACTATTCCATGGAAGAATTAAATCCTTTATATCTGGAACATTTTCCCTTATTATTTGTTCTGATCATTTTCTCCCTTCATCTTCCCTGTTGGTCTCTCTAGCTTTGTCACTTGATGTTTGACTTCCTTGGTCTGTTCTCCATCTTATTTTTTCTACCATATATTACATTTTTTTTTTGCCTTTTAAATTACTGTGAGATTTTCTTGATTTAATTTTCCAATCTTTCTATTAAATTTTCCAATTGTTTTTAGCATTCTATTATTACTTTTACAGATCAAGAATTCTAATTAGAATGACTTTAAACTTGTTTGCTGTTACATGAACTTTCTCTATTAAATCTGTGATAATTTTCATGTTATTTTATTCTCATCTTCTCTTTCATATTGTAAGAGTTTCTCAAACATTTGCTCTGGCCTCTTCAACCTTGTCCTTTACCTACTGTATACCACCTTATTTCATCTCAAGATACATTTCTTCAAGCCACTTCTAAACTGCCCCAAATCATACCTGGTCCCTGTGCAACACTCTCTCATTTTACCTCATTCTTTTTCTTTATAAATGTTTCAGACCTTGTAACTATGTTTGTGGAATTATGTAATATATGTATTTTCCTCCCACTGGAGTGTAAGTTCTATGAAGATAATGAATGTAATTGTTTTCACATTATTTTAATAACATTCAACAAACTATGAGTACTTATTGTAGCACTGGTACTCAATGACCATTTTTGCATTTTTGATGAATTAGTGAATATATAAACAAGTCTGGGGGCTTAGTCCAGCCAATAATAAAGCAAGCATTACTTTGCTTTCCTTTGTTATTATTAGTTCCTGCATACACATTCTTTATAGTTGCATTCCTGAGAGGTTCTTACAGTCTTGGGCAGGCCTTGGACAGGGTTTCCTAAATGTGATAAAAATGAGAAAAACTGAAAAACTAACATAACTTCAAACAGAATGCTTGTCTGCCTATGTTTATGGGACTTTCCTGAATACATTTAAAAAAAAAACCTTTGTATTACAGAAAATTTCAACTGTGTGCAATAGTACAGAGAAGAATTCCATGTATCAACAGCCTTGCTTTAACAATAATCAATTCATGAGCAATTTTGTAAACCCACCCAGTTATCATACAGGCACATACTGGATTATTTTGAAGATATTTTTAGGTATCATATTTCATTTATACATTTTTATTATGAAAATCTAAAATATAATGGCTTTTTAGAAACATAACAGCAATGCCACTAACACATTTAAAACGAGATAAATAATTCCTTAATACACTCAGTGTCAATTTTTCTGATTGCCTCATATAAATTTTTTAACAGATGTTTTGTTTGAATATGAATCTAGACAAAGCTCAGCGTTTGGTTACTATATTTCTTCAGTCTTTTTCAAGTGTATAGCTTTTCTTTTCTCTATTTTTAACTTTTTTTGCAAATTGTTTGCTGGAGAAATCTTTTTATTTAATCTAGTAGAACTTCTCATATTCTGAATTTTGTTGCTTACATCCTTGTGGTGTCATTCATCATGGGATTTTGTCTTGGACTCCAGAAAATAACAATAACACAAATTTGTTAACTTCTATAAACTGCTTACTATGGGCCAGACTGTGTGTGAAGTGCTTTATTTGTAATGTTTAATTCTTCATATCTCTAGTTTGTATGTGGTAAGTACAAACCTGAAATATTTTACGTGATTTTTACGTTTTGTAATTTTTATTTATTTATTCATTTATTTATTTATTTTTAGAGACGGGGTCTCGCTGTGTTGCCCAGGCTGGAGCGAGTGCAGTGGTGCAGTCAGTCCTAGCTCACTGCAGCCTCGAACTCCTGGGCTCAAGCAGCAATCCTCCTGCCTCAGCCTCCCTACTAGCTGGGACTACAGACTGGTCTCCATCTCCTGGGCTTTAAGGGACCCTCACCTTGTGCTGAGATTACAGGCATGAACCATTGTGACTGGAAATTTTGTAAAATTTAAACAATGTGATATTACCTATTAATGAAGTCATACTTTATGTATGTAATCTGAAATAATTCAGATAACAATTTTTAAGAATCATTTAATTTAAAATCATGCAGCCTGATTTATAACTGTTTATAATAATAATATAATAATATAATAATGATGATTTCACTTTGAACTTTTAGCTGATAAAAAGATATATTTGCTCTATTTTATAAAACTAATTTTAGCTATGCTATTTTAACATTATATAAATACTTTTTGAATACATTCTTTCAGTAAAATCCAACTACCATTATATTTGCTTTCCTCAGTATTTCTTGGGGAAGGATTCTAAATAGGGGAGCATTTGTGTATTTCTGTATGACTCTGGTTATAATGCCATTCAATGTAAGCCTTACACACACACACACACACACACACACACACACACACACACAAATGCACACACCTCCAGAATGCTGGGTTCTTGGCTCATGAATCATTGAAATTTATATAAAATTTATTTTAAATCCTATTGCAGAAAAGTTCTTAGCACATTCATGCATTTTCATGTGACCATTTTTATACTACAGTTTTAATTTTATATATTTGGGATCATTATTGTTGACCTTTTCTTTTCTTTTTTTTTAATAGAGTTTATTTTAGAGAAGTTTTAGGTTCCCAGAAAAATTGTAGAGTACAGATAGATGTATCCCATATGCTCTCTGTTCCCACACATGCATAGCCTCCCCCACTAGTAACATCCTTCATGACAGAGGTACATTTGCTACAACTTATGAACTTACACTGACACATCATTATCACCCAAAGTCCATAGTTTATATTAAGGTTCATTCTTGGTGTTGTACATTCTATGGATTTGGGCAAGCGCATAATGATATTTATTCACCATTGTGGTATCAAATAGAGTAGTTTCATTGCCCTAAAAATCCTCTGTGTTCTGTGATGGACGTTTTCATGATCACCACTGGTTCAGATTCCCTGCACTTACTAATTCCCAGTCTGCATTTATAATTATTTTCTCCCGGAGTCTCCCCACCTCCTCCCCAAAGTAAATATGGATAAACTGCTGTTGCATATAATTCACCTTGACTTAAAATTTATGGGACATAAGGAGGGAATATACCCCTTAGAGAGTTAAAAACCGAAGTCAAATATTACAACTTCTTGTCCTAAGAGTTCTCTTAGCAACCCAATCTCAGCCTCTCAAGAAAGAAAAAAATCCTCCAGTTAACATATGAAAAGAAACTCACTTTTACGTCTACGCTTGAATCTCCTAAATCACTAAAGGGCTAAGGAAAACAAATGTACTTTTCATATAATATGATCCATTCTTTTTAATAAATCCATTATAAACATAACTGCAGTGTTTTCTTATATATTTATATACTACGTGTAAGGCACTGTCTATATACCAAGATTATTCAAATTCTGTCAATAACTCTGCAAGGAAAATATTATCACTCCCACATTGTGGATGAGAAAAATAAGGTTCAGAAATGTCAATCAGATACTTTACCCAGTAAAGTTTAAAATATTAGCTTCAAAATACTGAGTCAAGTATTTGGATTTAGGTTTCTTTGTACAAAACTATGCTGTATCAATTATTATGTTAACGTTTTGTCTCTTTTTTTTCTCCTATTACATTTTAAACTCACTGATGCAGATAGCATGGACAGAAATATCCTGGCAGATTTCATAGCTGTTTAGAGCTCTCAGGTCCCTGTGGACCCATTTCCTCTGAGAGATTTTCTATTAGGAGACCACGAATCCAGTGTAGGACACAGCACCCACTACTGCTGCTACATTGTCTCAACTGTCTTGTTCTTCCTAGGATTTCTCTCTCATAGGCTCATGCTTTCCTTAGCCAGGAAGGGGGAGGAGCAGGGGGCTGGGGCCCCTAAATGGGTCTGTAGCTTCTACTTCTATCTGTTTTCCATTGTCACTAACCCTAAGTAAGGAACAAGCATTTGTTCCTTTTCAGATACCCCCTTATATTATTGCCTTATTTTAATATTTTTCTTTTTTAAAAAATTTATTTATATGTATTTATTTATTTTTGAGATGGAGTTTCATTCTGTTGCCCAGGCTGGAGTGCAGTGGCACAATCTTATTGCAACCTCCACCTCCCAGGTTCAAGCGATTCTCCTGCTTCAGCCTCCTGAGTAGCTGGGATTACAGGTGCCCAGCACCATGCCCAGCTAATTTTTGTATTTTTAGTAGAGACAGGGTGTAACCACGTTGGCCAGGCTGGTCTCGAAGTCCTGACCACAAGTGATCTGCCCACTTTGGCCTCCCAAAGTGTTGGGATTATAGGTGTGAGCCACCGTGCCTGGCCTTATTTCAATGTTTTTCTAACTGGCTTCCATTTCTTTTCCTGCCTAGAGAATTTTTATCTCCTCAAGGTGAGAAGGGGAGAGGAAAGCTTCTACTGTTGTCATTCTTCACAAATTTAAAGTTTTGAGAATGCAGTTTGACTTTTGGTAACAAAATTTTTTACT
The DNA here is from genome assembly GCF_000001405.40 of Homo sapiens. Lineage (NCBI taxonomy): Eukaryota > Metazoa > Chordata > Mammalia > Primates > Hominidae > Homo > Homo sapiens. The sequence continues at coordinate 4,160,855 of NT_113891.3, read as the reverse complement.
TTTGATAACTTTTGAGATTCAAAATTCTTGTATCCTATTTCTCTGTCATTCCTTTTAAGAGCCATATTGAAATTAGTACAGACTTTTTTTTTTTTTTTTGTATTTCTGCTATAACCATTCTGAGCCAAGGGCAGAGGGTTCGTTGGTACCTGAATTGAGGGGTGGCTGGCAGTGGCCAAGGGTAGGAACAAAAGGAAGAAAGAAATATTAACACCAGTTAAGAAATCAACAAATTATCAGGATACACTGTACTTGGTTGCTCCTGTGTTACTGGACTTGAAATATGATCTGGGGAATGATATGAAATTGGCCTAAAACATAAGAGTCGCCCATTCTAAGTTATGCTCTCAGTCAGCCCTGAGATGAAAGATGGGAAAAATTCAATAGAGGCATCAAAAGGGAATTTATTGCTTCCATGGAGATTTTAGATAAAGGTCATTGAGGAATTAGGTAGCTGAGTGGCTTACCCAGGCATCCCTTAGTAGGTAACATTTGAGAAAATAAAAAAATTCAGGAAAGGAGGTCAGGGAAAGAATTGAAAGGCATTTGTGAGCTCTGAGGGAATATAGCACCTTAAGTCCCAGAGAAGAGGTGAGAGAAGAAACATTTGGAGGAGAAAAGGGATATGATAAATCAGGCCAGAGAATAGTGCTAGGTCATTTAGCAAGTCCATTCTTCTTCTCCTGTAGATGGTGATGCACCTGCAACAGGACAGACATGAGATCGATGGGTCTGAGGGGCCTCCTGTGTGATCATCATGCCACTTCCCAATTCGCCTACAACTTTCAACCACATTCATGTCCACAACCCCCTCCCACTTTCCTCCCTCTCATACTGAGGTTTCAGCTCCAACAAATCTCAATCTTACCTTCCTTTTCAGGATGGGATTCATAAGAGCCCTTGGTGTCTGGAAGCACCAACTGAACGCAGGCCTTGGATGATGAAGACAGTGCCCACCACAATGCCCATGAGGCCCACAGACAACCCCAGGGCGCAGACCAAAGTCTCTGTGAGCTCTGACATAGGGGCTGGAATCTCAGGCTCTGTGAAAGTGGAGCTGTTGAGGTCAGAATGTGCAGTGTGCTCATGTGCATGTGTGTGGGATGGGATGGGGTGGAGGGCTGGCTCTGCAAGACTCAAGGCCCCAGGCTTAGGGAGAAGAGTGAAGTCTATTATTAGAAACCCATGAAGTAGTGGAACTCATCCTTACCCCAGTGTTTCAGAAGAGGCTCGTCCAGGCCCCAGTGCTCCACCTTGCAGTCATAAATCTCATCAGCAGAAGGGAGGAAGGTGAGGTAACTGATCTTGAAGAAGGAATGATCACTCTTGGAGAGGAAGCTGGTCTCAGAAACACCTTCTGTGACTGAGTGCCCATTGCTCAGCCAGGTGATGTTGACCACAGGAGGAAAGATGTTGTCCACAAGACAGATGAGGGTGTTGGGCTGACCCAGCGTCACAGGAAACTTGGAAAACACTGTGACCTCAGGAACCTCTGTGGTGAGGAAACAGCACTGATGTGAAGTGTGAATAGCTCTGCCATGAGCTTCTGCATTACATCCTGGAAGAGCCCTCCTACCAGCATTTCACCACCTGATAGTCAAAGAGGTCTTATTTACCTTCTGCTTGGGAGCAACGACACATTGCCTCTGCTTTATTCCTGTGCCCTTCTCTCTGTGGGCATGTTTAATAAAGTAGGAATTAATACATAATGGAAAGACCCTTGTATTACATGGGAATATGTGATTTTAGAGATGGGAGATGATAAAATTTCAGCAATTACCATGAGAAGATCTGGAAATCTCTTGAGAAGAAGGGAGTAAAACTTGGTATGAAAGATTAGTTTCAGTAAAGAGAGGCGGAATGGTGGACACATACCATTGGTGGCAGCGGTAGAGTTGGACTGTCTCATCATGAATTCCAAGGTGTGTTTTCCCACAGCCATATTTCTCAGTGCACTCTGCGGGTCAAAACTTATAAATTTGCTAAACATAGGCAACTGCCAGACAGTCTCTTTCGTCTCCAGGTCCACATAGAACTCCTCGTCTCCATCAAATTCATGGGTGTACTGGCCAGAGGGACCGTGAGACTGGTAGAAGTTCACACCATAGGAGGCAACATGGTCAGCTGACGAGTGAAGGTGACAAGCAGGAGGGTGGAACACAGGGAGAAAGAACCTTAATACAGAAAGTGATTGAAGAAACTCACTTTCAAATATTATGGGCTTCATCTTTGGCACAGTCCCTGAACAATCTTCCTAACACCTGCTTCCTCCTTGCCTAACGTTGGTAGTCATCAGGTTAGAACTGATTCTGTCTTTCTCACTATAACATATGCTCCACAAAGGCAGAACGTCACACGTCTGTTATTTCCTGAGTGCCTACTTAGTGCCTGGCACATCATAAGCTTATGATGAATATTGCAATAAACAAAGGAAGGAATGAATGAGTTATCATAGGATTTAGTTTTCTTACTCAGAGATTCAGTTTATTTCCCTCTGCTTCCTAAGTTTTCTCTCTCAGTTAATAACAAGTTGATTATACTTCGTTTCCTGTCAGGACTAGATCAGAACAGGACACTTTCTACACAGAGTTTCCTTTTTTTTTTTTTTTTAAACCAAAGAAAAGCATGTAGGAACGTATTAACTTAAAATAATTTCTTCTAACAATTATAGGGTACAAGAAAGACTATTACAAGAATAGCAACATTATACATTTATAACAAATAAACAATTCTTCTAAGGTCTCTGTTTTGTTAATAGTAGTGGTCCTTAGAGGAGAGCACCTGATTTCTTCTGAAATGAAAAGTGGAAGCTCAACTGGTTTTTTAATTTCTGTCATTGCCCCCACTTTTTTTTTTCCTCTGAAGGAGGTTACTAAATATCTATAGTGTTCTGATTCAACAATTACATTCACTCGAGGACTCAGGTAAATTAAACCCTTTTTCCTCTAATGGGCAGCGAGCTTATCCGAGGATGCCAGGGCAGAGCAGCAGCCATGAAGTATAGCCAAATGAGCCGAACTGGACATTTTTGTTAAGACATGTGTGAGCCCTTTACCATTTTATCTTTCCTTCCTTCCTTCCTCATTTACTGAGCATCCAAAAGTGTCAGACAGAGCAGGGGTTGCTTAAAACAGCATCAAGGAATGAACTGAATAGTGGGAGAATCAGGTCGGTAAGGGAGCAAATACAATGTACTTTGGGGAATTCTGTGAGGAGGATATCGACAGCCTTACAGTCCGACATTCTTCACAACTATCTGCCAATCAAACCAAACTACATTTCCTTTCATGTCTTTGCAAGGGTCTGTTTTTTCTCCCTGAAAGAAGTTATCTTTTAGGATTTCCTGGAGAAATCCTAAAATTCATCCTTGAGGTTTCTACTTAGTTAACAACTTTGCAGCTAAGTCCTCTCAACATGTTTTTGACCGCGTTGTGACCTCCAACGCCTCAATGGAATCTCAATGTCTGGCTCTCCAAGTTTGTCTTTTCCTCCTCCAGCTCACCTTCTTCCCTACCCAGCATGACTGCCCTGGTTGGTTACTTAACAGGCCACCAACAAAGACTCCTTATCCTTACAATAAACTTTGACTCCTTGTTCAAACATGAATATATGTGGAATACATGCAATCCTTCTTTTCATCTGGTACTTGTCCTGGGTGCTAAGTGTTGCTGGAGGACATCACTCTACTGGCCCAGCTGGAACCAAGTCATTTTTATAGTTTCAGCCTCTGCTGGGCCAGTGTCCTGCTCAGCAGGGCCTTCTGCTTTCCTGTGCCCCATACTGTTTCCATCACTGGTTTGTGCACCCTCTGCAAGGCAGACAGCATGATTTTTTATCTTTGAATTCCCAAAAGTTAGCTCATTGTGTGCTCAAACATGTGTATTGAATGACAATTGCAATTTTTGACAATTACATAGATTTTGGGGAAGACTGACAGGCACCCAGGTAGCAGAACCACGCAAAGCCCAGGATCAGGGATGCCCAGGGCTGAATTCTGACTTGTGAGCCCCAAGCACTGTTGCTTTTGTGGGCGCCTTCCTCCATAAAAATACGGAAAATTACAGCTTCTGATTGTATTGGTATAAAGACAAATACAATCCAGGCTACATTAAAAGTTAAGGCCGGGCGCGGTGGATCACGCCTGTAATCCCAGCACTTTGGGAGGTTGAGACGGGCGGATCATGAGGTCAGGAGATCGAGACCATCCTGGCTAACACGGTGAAACCCCGTCTCTACTAAAAATACAAAAAATTAGCCGTGCACAGTGGCGGGCGCCTGTAGTCCCAGCTACTCGGGAGGCTGAGGCAGGAGAATGGCGTGAACCTGGGAGGCGGAGCTTGCAGTGAGCGGAGATCGTGCCACTGCACTCCAGCCTGGGCGACAGAGCGAGACTCCGTCAAAAAAAAAAAAAAAAGTTAAAACATTTTCATAGACTGTAAAACTTCATTTTTCTTCTAATTTTAAAAGGAGTTAAAACGTTCTCTTGTAGCTTTACAGTTTGGAGGGTCCCCTTCACTGCCCACACTGTTCCTAATGGATAAGTCGAGCCTGACCGGGGCACTCTGGTGTGAGGTTGAAGAAAGGAAATTTGAAACAAAAAAGCCAAGTGCTCTGGAGAAGCAGGTGAAACTTCCACTGCCAAACAAAATCAGAATGGGAGCAGCTATGGTTAATAAGGTTGTGGAAGTTTCGAGTAGCTTCCAGTTCACTTCCCCTTTTAACTATTTGACTTTCCAACTTTTGTTTTACAAACCCACTGCCCATGTCTGTAAAGGAGCAGGGAGTCAGAGATGGATCCTGAAAGGGAAGAGGGAGAAAGGGATGCATGAAGAGAGGTGGGAAGAGATGGACGACAAAGGCAGAGGGGACTAAGGGACCAAATAATTATCTGTGCCTGCCCATTTTTCTCTTTATAAGACTTCATTAGATAAGGTGAAGAACAAGTAATTTGGGTTGACAATTTGAGAATAAAATAATTTAATTTACCAAGCATTTTATCATAAAGTTCTCAGTTTTAAAATATATTCCTTACTTTGCTAAAGAAAAAATAAGAAGTTATACCTGTAATAGAAATAAGTTAAAAAAAGTTGACATTAGTGTTTTTACTATTCATAAAGCATATCTACATGCCCATTTTATTTGATCATAAGCGAGGTGACATATATGAGGTAGCAGAGAGTAAGTACCACATTTACCACGTGGTAAAATGATTGTTGAAGGCATTCAGCCTGCTGGGCTCTTTCACCTACTCCCCACCTGTGCCAATTCCCATGTGGAAATGTAAGTCTGAGAGAAAGAAAAGAACCTCTTTCTTTATATCTATAGAGTGTACATACTTCATGGAACTATCTACCCCAACATATGCTATAGGAGGCATATGAAAAGCTTCAAAAGTTGTTCAGAGAAATTTGGGAGTAACAGTTCAGAAATTTTTAATAACAAAAAAATACTCCATTCATGGAAACATCCCTAGTCTTTGAGGCAATCATGATGGAATGCCACACAGACCTCCAGGCTATAGTCTCTGGATATAATATAAACAGAACAACGTCCTTGGTAAACTCCAATAGCACAGGTAGCAAAGAGAGTCGGTTGGAGCTCTGGTTTCCTAAAGGAGGAACTGCCATAATTTTAAAATTTCTTAATATTGAAAAGACCCTTGGGAAATTTCTACTATTTCTTAGCAAATTGCACTCTTTCTTTTCCTTTAATTTACTGTTTTTCAGCTCCAGAGAACATTCCTCACTCATGCACTCACCCACAATGTCTTCACCTCCACAGGGGCTCATCACGGCAGTCAGGGCGAGGGCCCCCAGCAGCAGAGCTTTGTTTAGGATCATCTTCTTCCCAAGGCAGGCTCAGCAGTTGCTGCTCTGAGCTGTAGAGCAATTGTGAGGACCTCGAGACAAGCAAATCTGAAGACACCCAAACCAAACCCTGCCAGGTCAGGTTTTGGCCAATCAGAAAAATCCCCTATGGTGACATATTGTTTGCCAGTTGCAGAGTTTATATTAAGAGCCCTGGAAGAAGACAGGGACATCCTCTGGTTCTGACACATCCTCCACACAGCATGGTCTTGAGGAAATTTTCTATAAATAAAGGGAAGATACTAAATCTGAATCTTCTGTCATGTGTGCATGTCTGCTAGTGTCAAGAGGGGCGGGAATTTCTGAGCAGCCGCTTGGATAGGTAAGGTCATCAATAATATGGCATCCTTCAGGGTTTTCTGGGTTACATTCTCCAGGAATTCTTCCCTGAAGTGATTTTCCTCCCTGGCAGTCCCCATCCCCTCCCCTTTCTCTGGCTTCTGTATGTGGGTTAGCTGTTTTTCTTTTTGCTTCCATAGTGTATATGGTATTCCCCAAATTTTGACTTGACCCCACCTTCCTAGGGATCTCTGCTGGTGGTAGCCAAGCAATACCTTTGCCTTTTCTACTTGTATAAATCCAGTTGGGTAAGTTCTCAAAAGCTCCAGGTGTTTTTGACCAGGGCAATTAAAGGGGTTAGACTGTCATGCGGTGCTGCCTACAGTAACCGATCTTTTACAGTTTTTTCTTTTGCTTCTAGTAATCTTTATGCTCTGTGTTTCGGTGCTGCTTGAATATATTTAAAGGAAATTTAGGGACATTGATTACATTAAAAAAGCTTTGGCTGGCTCAATTACTCTAATAATTTATTTTATTTTATTTTATTTATTTATTTATTTTAAGACGGAGTCTCGCTCTTTGGCCCAGGCCGGACTGCAGTGGTGCTATCTCGGCTCACTGCAAGCTCTGCCTCCTGGGTTCACGCCATTCTCCTGCCTCAGCCTCCCGAGTAGCTGGGACTACAGGCGCCCGCCACCGCGCCCAGCTAATTTTTTGTATTTTTAGTAGAGATGGGGTTTCACCGTGTGAGCCAGGATGGTCTCGATCTCCTGACCTCGTGATCTGCCCGCCTCGGCCTCCCAAAGTCCTGAGATTACAGATGTGAGCCACCGCGCCCAGCCAGTAATTTTTTTTTTTTAATTTAAGAATGTCAAGTCAAATATTGAGAGTAGAATAAGGAGAATTGCTTTAACTTAGAAAATAGGTTTACTGGCCGGGCGCGGTGGCTCACGCCTGTAATCCCAGCACTTTGGGAGGCCGAGGCGGGCGGATCACGAGGTCAGGAGATCGAGACCATCCTGGCTAACAAGGTGAAACCCCGTCTCTACTAAAAATACAAAAAATTAGCCGGGCGTAGTGGCGGGCGCCTGTAGTCCCAGCTACTTGGGAGGCTGAGGCAGGAGAATGACGTGAACCCGGGAGGCGGAGCTTGCAGTGAGCCGAGATCCCGCCACTGCACTCCAGCCTGGGCGACAGAGCGAGACTCCGTCTCAAAAAAAAAAAAAAAAAAAAAAAAAAAGAAAATAGGTTTACTTTTCTTAAACTACTGGATCTTTTCATATTTGTTATCCAACCACATTAAGATTTCAGATATTGCAAGGGACTAGGGAATGAGCTAAAATGTAGTAATCACAGGGAAACTTACCTTTTTTCAGATGAATCTATTTTCTGTATGTTATAGAAACAACAAGTTAGTAATGGAGGTTTCATTTAGAATCACTCTGTCCTTGTTGAATGGCCTTCTGAGATTCTCAGCATGTTGTCTTGCCTCCCAATGGCAGAGACTAAAAAAAGGTAAAATAAAAAAGTATCCTGATACCTGGGGGCTGCCTGGATGCAATTAACAAGGCCTTGGGGTTGCTAGGAGCTAGCCTGGTGTGCACAGCTGGTTTTGATTCTCCTGTTGAAGATAATCAATTTCATAGAACATTAGAATCAGACAGGTACTCTGTGAGTGCGATGGATTGAGACAGAAAATAAGGCCACTCAGTCATCACGTCTGCACCCAGACAAAACATGAATATTGTCCAAACTACAAAAATAACCAGGCACATCTCTCGAAAGAGTGATTGCTGCTTCTTTACCAATCACAGCCGTAGCCTCAGGATAGTCTTCCGTCCCTCTAGGTAGTATTTATGAAGCTACCCAATCATAGCATTGCCAATCCCCACTCCCTGCTTTCTGTCAGAATCCAGTTAAAAATGAAGTCCCTCTTTCTTAACTCCTCCTCAAAATTACCTAACACAAGCACAAATCTTACAATTGATTAATGGTCAATTTTATGTGTTGACTGGACTGTGGTCCCCAGTTATTCACACACTAATAATCTAGGTGTTGCTGTGAAGATATTTTGTAGATGTCATTAAAGTTCATAATCAGTTAACTTTAAGTAAGAATTTATCTGAGATAAATTGGGTGAGCTTAGTCTAAGCAGTTGAAAAGTCTTAAGAGCAGAGCTGAGGCTTCTCTGAGGAAATGGAAATTCCACTGTGGGCAGCACGTCAGCCAGTGCTAAGAATTTCAACCTGCCTTTCCTGATGACCACCTCCCAGTGGGTCTTAGACTTGCCTAGTCCACCCCTACAGTTGCACAAATTAATTCCTTTCAGTCATTCTCTTAATATATGTGTTCTCCTAGTTCTACTTCTTTGGTTCCAACAATCTCTTACTGAACTGCTGCATGATTCCCCATGGTGACTTTTCTCCATCATTGCAACGAACAATAAAGCCAACTTGTTCATTCAAGGGTATGCTCTTCGTGGTCTTTGGCCGGAGGCACTGATGGTACCTCACTAGGCAGTTGTGAGGAATGTACATATACTGCACTTGGAATGAATTACTCTTTATAAATACTTGTCATACTTTAGTATCATCCACATTTTTCAAGGAGGACATTAAAACTCAGAGAGGTAAAGGACTTTTCCCAGGGTCACATGGCTCGTAAGTAGTAGAGATGGGCTGCTACAGGGGCAAGCCATGATTCCTCATGAGGGGTGAGGGGTGTCTCCTTCTGTGTGGATTCAGAGTAAGTGCCCTAATACGATTAGGAGAGATATATGACACTGTACGTGGCCTTATTACTCTTTCTAGCCACTGCCATTTTGAACTAAGAGGGTTTTTGAGGTTGCAGTTGAGCTCTGCTCCCTTCACCGTGCAGCATCCTCTTTGCTGTGTAGTAAATAACACATTTCTATCTTTTTTCCCCTGTATCCAGACTTACCTGCTTTGTATCTGACAGAAATTCCTTAAGATTTTGGCAAATGAACTAAATCTTTCCTGATAGTACTCCAGAATTTCCCCTATTAATACCACAGTTTAAAAAACTCAACTCTAATTAGGAAGTTAGGGTGTTAAATGTGGGATCAGAATTGTATCTTAGAAGGGAAGTCGTGGGTTCAGTCTCAGATCTCACATCCTGTGGGATGGAGGGAAAGTCCAAGCAAGGCCAGGTCATTGACTAAAAGATAATAGATGCTCTTTCTATCTTTAACTGGTTTTGTGTCCCTCTCCTCCTCCTGCTTCATCCAGCCAGAATACAGCGAACCTTGTTCTATTTGCTTCTGTTTTCAGGTCATAATTTTAATGCAAGATAGAATAATCAGTAAATTAGACTCAGAAGAACAGTATACCATTTTAACAGAAACCAATTTCTTATTTTGTCTTGTAGAAATAGAAAAGGTCCTCAGTACTTTGGGAGGCTGAGGCAGGCAAATCACAAGTTCAAGAGATCGAGACCATCCTGGCCAACATGGTGAAACCCCATCTCTACAAAACAAAAAACAAAAAACAAAAAAAAATTAGCTGGGTGTAGTGGCATGCGCCTGTAGTCCCAGCTACTACTCGGGAGGCTGAGGCAGGAGAATCGCTTGAACGCGGGAGGCGGAGGTTGCAGTGAGCCGAGATCGCACCACTACACTCCATGCACTCCAGTCTGGCGACAGGGCGAGACTCCGTCTCAAAAAAAAAAAAAAAGAAAAAGAAAAGAAAAAAGAAAAAGTCCTTTTCATAAAGTAATAGTGGGAATAAAATTTGGAGCTCAAAATACTACTTTGTCTAATAACTTTCTTAGAAAGCACTAATTGACATGCCATTGATTTCGTAACTAAAATAACAATGGGATATGCCATTACAATTGATATTATTAAGGGCCCTCTAAGAAATTAGGCAGAAATTATGTTAGTTCTAAGGAGCAGTTATAACATTCTCTAAGACCCTAACTTTAGGTCTAATTTTATGCATTGATGAAATTTTACTCTGAAGGCCAAGACTTCTATCTTGCAGTAGTTAAAGGTGCTTCACAAAAATAACAGAGTCTAGAATAGCAAAATAAAAATATTATAGATTTTGTAATAAAATAAATGTATTCCATGCTGCTTTTGATTTTATCAGCTCCATCACCCTGGGCAAGCCACTCAGAATACCTGAGCCTTAGGGTTATTTTCTATAATGTGGGATGAAAACTATTAGAAGATAATTAATATCATGAAACGATAGATAAGTACAAATTATACAGTTAAATACAGGCCAGTGTCTGGCACCTAGCAACTATTCCCAAGTGGGAGCTGCTATATAAAGACAAATATTAATAATGATAATGATAGTAACATCACACATTGGGCTGGGACAGACTATTACTTTTTCTTCATTCATTTAAGCTTCTCCCTGTGGCACTCCAGGCATATAGGAGCCTGTGAGCCACAGAAACACTAAGAGATTTCTAGGAAAAAGAATTTCTTTGAAGACTGTTGTATCTGTCAGATTTTTCTATGTAACAAACTATTCCAAAACTTAATGACTTCCAACAATGATTTAGTATCTTCGTATGATTCTGTAAGACAGACATTCTAAAATGAGGCCAATAGAAAATTCCTGCAAGTGATGTTTGACAATGTCTGGAGATACTTTTGTTGTCATTACTGGGGAGGGTGCTACTGGCAGGTATTGGGTAGAGGCCAGGGGTGCTGTTACACATCCTGCAATGCACATGGCAGCCTCCTACAAGAAAATAATCACCTGAAACAAAATGCCAACAGTTCTGAGGTTGAGAAGCCTCATTTTAGACCATTTTTTAAATGTGAAAAAATGTTTCATTTCCAGCGTTTATTTCTTTGTATAGATCCAGGTTTCTATGTGATATCATATGGCTACCATGTGAAGGTCTTCCTTTTACATTTCTTATGGTGCAAAAATCCCATGGACACCAATATTCCCACGACTCAAAGATAATAATGAATGCATGACTATCTCAAGTGCATAGGCGCGGAGAGGAGGACAAATGAGAGTGGAAGCATTCCCCTGCCCCCATCTTCTCTCTTTAGTGCCCATTGTAAGCCTTTCAAGCTCCACCATCTCTCAGGTGCAAGATTGTCCTTGCCAATCTTCTTTAGTCAATGGGATACTTTTAGAGAAATACTATAGCAAGAATAATTTTTACTCAACTTGTATCATTGTAAATAATTTATAAAATATTTCTTTTGTTTGAGGTATTTTTCAAAATCCCCAAACATCACACATATCTGGATTCATTTTTCCCTAAAGTTGTCAGTTATTAAAACATTTGAATTATTCTTGTGTTATTATTTCTGTTTTTAATGTTCTGGCAAAATCACAACTTAAAATTTCTAGGTAAAATGCTTTACATATACATGATGACCTTTGGTAAATACATATGAATAATTTCATATAAACACTTGCTTTTAAAGTTTCCATTTAAAATTATTTGTCATTTTAAAATCACTAATGCTAAGTAAAAATAACTGTACAGCTGACTGTGGAGGTGTGTGCCTATACTCCCAGCAATTCAGGTGACTGAGGTAGGAAGATCACTTGAGCCAAGGAGTTTGAGGCCAGCCTGGGAAACATAGTGTTACAGGACTTTTCCTTAGTTCAGCTAATGACAGCGTCCTTGCCACACAGCCACAATAAATTACGTTCACAGACAACTTGAAGGGTGAGTAGGACAACTTGAAGGTTGAGTATTGGGTGAAAAGGAAGAAAAGGGGAAACAGAGGCTCTTAGCAAAGTGAGAGAATGCATTTTTTTCTGCCAGTGGGCTTCCCACCTCACAGATTGAATTCCACGTTCCACCCAAAGAAGAGGGGTCACTCTCCTCCCTGCCGCAAATGGTGCAAACTTCTGTGGCTCCATCCCAGTTTGCACTCCTCCCAGTGCTCAGGCTGGCTGGAATTTATCTGGGGACCCCTTCCCACCTGGCTGTCTCAGTAGCAAGACCCCGTCTCTAAAAATAAATAAATGAAAAGATCTATTCAAAGAACGTTCCAATATGTACATTAGGATTGGAGAGCTCCTAGGAAAAGAATCAATCGCTATTAGGCGTGAGGAATATTATCTGTTTCCCAGTAGTCAGTTCTACAACCTGATTCAGATGAATTAAGAATTTCAGTTCAACTCAACAAGTATTTATTGATTACATACTATAGTCTCTGCACAAAGTCTTTATCAAATAACTATTCTGTTTAGCTGAAGAGTAACCTGGGGCTATGGTGAAAGCAGATCTGCACATGGGAGTAATTTTGCGTGTTTTCCCACAGAAGACTATTAGGGAGCAGTATTTTCCCCATACTATTTTTTTGTTATTGTGTAGTTTATTTAAGAGAGCTGTTTAAAGCAACTAGTTCATTCATACAGGAGTTGTTACTGACAAAGAATTGGTGGGGATGATATTAAATAACAAACGGAATTGTCTTTGCACGGTTACCTTATAGGTAACAGAGGGTCTAGAGCAAAATTAGTAGCAATATATTGTGTGTTTATGGAATATAAAAAAATATAATACATGATAACAATTGCACAATGAATGAGAGAGAGAGAAATTTGGAGCATACTGAGCTAAGGTATATTTGAAAGTATATTATACATAAATGTAAAATCCTAGGGCAAAAACTAATCCAAAAGAAGGCAGATAAACAATTTTGAAAATGAACAAACGTTTAATAGAATTAATAAAAAATATCTAGCAAAAATAATCCAACCATGTTGATAATTTCATAGATATAATTGGCCTAGACACACCAATTAAATGATAAAGAAGATCAGACAGCAAAAATGGCACAATTGAACTATAATCTGTCTACAAGAAACCCATTTTAAATATAAAGGCATACCTACCTTAAAAGTAAAATGAATGAAACTGTATACCATGCAAACAAAATCAAAAGAAAATTAATAAAAACTTGCCTTAACTTCATCTCCCCACTTTTTAACTTTTTGTTGTTTCTATTTATATCTTATTGTACTATGTCTTGAAAACTTGTTGTAGTTATTATTTTTTATTGGTTCATCACGTAGTCTTACTACTTAGAATAAGAGTAGTTTACACACCACAGTTGCAGTGTTATAATATTCTGTGTTTTTTTCTTGATGTTCTCCTCCCTGTGTCCACGTGTTCTCATTGTTCAACTCCCACTTATGAGTGAGAACATATGGTGTTTGGTTTTCTGTTCCTGTGATAGTTTGCTGAGAATGATCATTTCCAGCTTCATTCATTTCCCTGCAAAGGACATGAACTCATTCTCTTTTATGGCTGCATAGTATTCCATGGTGTATATGTGCCACATTTTCTTAATCCAATCTATCATTGATGGGCATTCGGGTTGGTTCCAAGTCTTTTCTATTGTGAACAGTGCTGCAATAAACATACATGTGCATGTATCTTTATAGTAGAATGATTTATAATCCTTTGGGTATATGACCAAAATGGAATTGCTGGGTCAAATGATATTTCTGGTTCTATATCCTTGAAGAATCGCCACACTGTCTTCCACAATGGTTGGACTAATTTACACCCCCACCAACAGTGTACAGCGTTCCTACTTCTCCACATCCTCTCCAGCATCTGTTGTTTCCTGACTTTTTAATGATCACCATTCTGACTGGCAAGAGATTGTATATTTAAAAAACCCCATCATCTCAGCCCAAAATCTCCTTAAGCTGACAAGCAATTTCAGCAAAGTCTCAGAATACAAAATCAATGTGCAAAAAGCACAAGCATTCTTATATACCAATAACAGACAAACAAAGAACCAAATCATGAGTGAACTCCCATTTATAATTGCTACAAAGAGAATAAAATACCTAGGAATACAACTTACAAGGGATGTGAAGGACCTCTTCAAGGGTAACTACAAACCACTGCTCAAGGAAATAAGAGAGCACACAAACAAATGGAAAAATATTCCATGCTCATGGATAGGAAAAATCAGTATTGTGATAATGGCCACACTGGCCAAAGTAATTTACAGATTCAATGCTATCCTCATCAAGCTACCATTGACTTTCTTCACAGAATTAGAAAAAACTACGTTAAATTTCACATGGAACCAAAAAAGAGCCCGTATAGCCAAGACAATCCTAAGCAAAAATAACAAATCTGGAGGCATCACGTTATCTGACTTTGAACTATATTAGAAGGCTGCAATAACCAAAGCAGCATGGTACTGGCACCAAAACAGATATATAGACCAATGGAACATAACAGAGGCCCCAGAAGTAACACCACACATCTACAACCATCTGATATTTGACAAACCTGACAAAAACAAGCAATGGGGAAAGGATTCCCTATTTAATAAATGGTGTTGGGAAAACTGGCTAGCCATATGCAGAAACTGAAATTGGACCACTTTCTTAAGTCAAAAGGACTTACTGAGAACTGACTTCCTTTTCTCCCAGGTTTTTATGGTGACCCCTTTGCATCACCTGACTCCCAGGCTGCAGGTCAGACTTGTCGGTGTGCCTTCTGATGTGTTGAAGTTCTGGGCTTTGACCTTAGGGCTGATGTCTTGGAGGTGGTCTGTGGGGTTATAGAAAGACATACTCCTGAGGAGTTGCCGCCCCTTTTTCTCCTCCTCCTCATCCAAAAATTAACTCAAGATGGATTAAAGACTTACACATAAAACCTAAAACCATAAAAACCCTAGAAGAAAACCTAGGCAATACCAGTCAGGATATAGGCATGGGCAAAGACTTTATGATTAAAACATCAAAAACAATGGCAACAGATGCCAAAATTGACAAATGGGATCTAATTAGACTAAAGAGCTTCTGCACAGCAAAAGAAACTATCATCAGAGTGAATAGGCAACCTACAGAATGGGAGAAAAATTTTGCAATCTATCAATTTGACAAAGGGCTAATATCCAGAATCTACAAGGAATTTAAACAAATTTACAAGAAAAAAAACAACCCCATCAAACAGTGGTGAAAATATATGAACAGACACTTCTCAAAAGGAAGACATTTATGTGGCTAACAAACATATGAAAAAAAGCTCATCATCACTGGTCATTAGAGAAATGCAAATCAAAACCACAATGAGATAATTATGTCAATACTAGACAAAGTAGATGTCAGAACAAGGAATATTACCAGGGATAAAGAGGGATATTATTTAATGATAAGGGGTTATTGCTCCAAAGACACATAACAATCTTAAGTGTGTATGCACCTAACAACAGAGCATCGAAATACATGAGACAAAAGCCGATAGAAATGAAAGGAGAAATAGAAAAGTCAAAAATTTTTTGTATGAGGTGTAAGGAAGGGGTCCAGTTTCAGTTTTCTGCATATGGCTAGCCAGTTTTCCCTAAAACCTGTGAATAATGGAGCTAAAGATTTACTTAAACATGAAGATCTTTGTTTTGTAAGAAATCACACATAGTTACACATTGTCAGATCTTTTTTAATTATTATTTTTACCAGACATAAGAAGGCAAGTACATATACCTACACATATATGTATATACGAGTATTTGAAATATTATCAGTCTATGTTACAAAGAGCTTTCACATGAATGATCTGGTTTAATAAACAAGTGACCACTGAATAAACGTATTGCTTTTCTAAAGAGTAGGCTAACTAGTTAGCTAATTAAAACCTAGATCTGGGATTGGAGTAGAAGACTAATTAATATCTGCTATCTTTTCCACTTTAGTATCAAAGGAGGGATGTGAGCCCATGATGAGGATTTCTTTGCTGCCTTACCCTCTAAGTTTCTTTTCCTGTTGTCATTCCTCTTAGTGGAGCCTGCAGTGACCATCTCCCCAGCTAAGACATAGGTCAGCCATCACAATTTGCTGGTCTGTTTGGTGACAAATTTCTTTCCTTGCCAAGTGAAACTCAGATGGTTCCAGAAAAAACAGAAGCAGACTGCTGGAGTTGTATCCACACCTATTCAGAATAGGGATTAGACCTACCAGATTCTTGTAATGCTAGAAAATAATACCCGAGCGTGGAGATGTCTACACCTACCATCTGGAGCACCCCAGCCTCCAGAGCCCCATCACAGTAGAATGATGTAAGGAGCACTTTATTGATATCATAAATTCAATGGAAAAAAGGAAGGGTGGGGGGGGTCTGGGTCTTGTGGGGGTGAGGTCACTACTAACCTCTGCTTGTTATACATTTTCATACCTTCTCTCCTACACAACTGTATCCCGATATAATTTCTGGACTAGTAGTCATGGAAGACTGAGATCCCATTGTCTCAAGTCAAAATGCACTTGCTGAGAACTGACCTCCTTTTCTCCCAGTTTATTATGGTGGGCCCTTTGCATCACCTGACTCCCAGACTACAGGTCAGCCTTGTCGGTGTGCCTTCTGAGGTGTTATAGTTCTAGGTTTTGACCTTAGGGCTGATGTCTTGGAGATGGTCTGTGGGGTTATAGAAGGACATATCCTTGAGGAGTTGTCATCTCCTTTTCCCCCTCCTCCTCATCCATCCATGCTGCCCCTTGGGGTCTTTGCCTGCCTGTCATCTCCTTTGCTTGGTGACAGACTACCTCTGTCTCTTACATCCTGGATAGGACTCCAGGCTTCCAGATGAGGACACTGTGGGGTGTGGGGACAGGCTCTGACACACAGGCTTTCACTTCCCAGGGACACTGTCTGAATCTGCCCAGAGCAAGATGCTGAGTGGCCTTCGGGGTCTTGTGCTGGGGCTGATCTCTCTTGGTTTGGGCCTTGTGGCCCAGCCATTTTTGGAATAAGAAAGGTAAGGCACCTTTGAAGAAGATGGAGAGACTAGTGCTGGGACTGAGGCTTTTTGTTGTAACTCGTCCTGTCTGACTCTGTAATGGAAAGGCAGCTAAGGTGGGGATGGAAATAGATCACAGAAATTAGGAGCTCCCTGGCCTGGGTCATGTCTGCATCATTACAGAAGGGAGTGGTGGAGGGTTATTCTTAAATAGACAGGGCTCCACTCACAGGTAAGATCCCTGCTCTCCTTGCCCAGAAATATGACACACATAAGGTGGAAAAAAGAGTTGAGTGGGTTTTTCTGGACACCTGAACATGCTTCAGTTATTTTGCTGTTCCTGAATGAATGTAGCATGAAACAAAATTCTGGAATATTCTGGAAAAAATTCTGGAAAAATTCTGGAATGT
Source organism: Homo sapiens (assembly GCF_000001405.40). NCBI lineage: Eukaryota > Metazoa > Chordata > Mammalia > Primates > Hominidae > Homo > Homo sapiens. The sequence goes on along the minus strand of NT_113891.3, from coordinate 4,143,585 downwards.
TCTGAAAAGTCTCTGCTCTAAACTTCAGGGATTATTCCTCAGAATAAGACCCAACCTGTGGTATCAGTCATTCAGTGAGGCTTGGATGATGCCCCCAAATCCCCAAATTGCAGAGAGTGCTGCTGAACTTGGTGATAGGTGAGATGAGAGGGAATTACAGTTGTTACCATTCCAGTTAGTCCACGACCTGTGCATCACCAAAGAATTTCGACATCCTCTTCTGCCTTCCACAGGCCCCTTCAAGCTGATGTTTTGTGTTCACTTTAACAGAGTAAAGTGCACTTCAGATGTATTGTGATTTTGGTTCCAGAGAGCACTGCAAGAAAGTCAAACGTATCTTTCGGTTTCCCAGTGCATATAAAAGTCATGTTTACAATATATAGTAGTCTATTAAGTGTGAAATGGCATTATGTCTAAAAAAGTGCATACCTTAATTAAAATATTTTATGGCTAAAAATACTAACAATCCTCTGAGCCTTTAGTGAGTTATGATCTTTTTGCTGATAGAAGGTTCTTTCCTTGATGTTGATGGCTGCTGCTGCAGTTTGAGGTGGCTGTGATAATTTCTTAAAATGAAAGAACAATGAAGTTTGCTGCATAGATTGACTCTTCCTTTCATGAAATATTTTTTTGTAGCATGTGATGATGTTTGGTAGCATTTTACCCACAGTAGACCTTCTTTCAAAATTGTAGTCAATCCTCTCAAACCCTGCTGCTGCTTTCTCAACTAAGTTATGTAATATTCTAAATCCTTTGTTGCCACTTCAACAACATTCATAGCATCTCACCAGGGGTAGATTCCCTCTCAAGAAACCACTTTCTTTGCTCATCCACAAGCAGCAGTTCCTCATCCATTCAAGTTTTATCATAAGATTGCAGCAATTTAGTTACATCTTCCGGTTCCACTTCTAATTCGAGTTCTCTTGCTATTTCCAGGACATCTATAGTTCCTTCCTCCACTGAAGTCTTAAACGTCTCAAAGTCATCCATGAGGGCTGGAATCAGCTTCTCCCAATCTCCTGTTAATGTTGATATTTCGACCTTCTCCCATGAATCATAAATGTTCCCAATGACATCTAGAATGGTGAAGGCTTTTCAGAAGGTTTTCAATTTGCTTTCCCCAGATCCATCGAGGAATCACTGTCTCTGACAGCAATAGCCTTATGTAATATATTAAATAATACGACTTGAAAGTTAAAACTACCCCTTGATCCATGAGTTGCAGAATGGATGTTGCATTAGCAGGCATGAAAACAACATTCATCTCCTTGTACATCTTCATCAGAGCTCTTGGATGACTAGGTACCTTGTCAATGAGTAGTAGTATTTTGAGAGGAATGCCTTTGTCTGGGCAATGGGTCCCAACAATAGGCTTAAAATATTCAGCCAACTATATTTGAAACAGGTGTGCTGTTATCAGGCTTCGTTTTTTCATTTATAGAGCACAGGCGGAGTAGATTTAGCATAATTCTTAAGGGCCCTAGTATTTTTGAAATGGTAAATGAGCACTGGCTTCAATTTAAAGCCACCTGCTGCATTAGTCCCTAGCAATAGAGTCAGCCTGATCTTTGAAGTTTTGAAGCCAGCATTGACTTCTCTCTAACTCTGAAAATCCTAGAAGACACCTTCTTCCAATAGAAGGCTGTTTCATTTCTATTGAAAATCTATGATTTAATATAGCCACCTTCATCAGTGATCTTAGCTAGATCTTCTGGATAAATTGCTACAGCTTCTATATCACCACTTGCTACATCATCTTGTACTTTGGTATTATGAAGGTGGCTTTTTTCCTTAAGCCTCATGAATCAACCTCTGCTAGATTCAGACTTTTTTCCTGCAGCTTCCTCACATCTCTCAGCCTTCATAGAACTAAAGAGAATGAGGGCCTTTCTCTGGATTAGACTTTGGCTTAAGGGAATGTTGTGGCTGGTTTGATCGATCCAGATCACTCAAACTTTTTCCACATCAGCAATAAGACTGTTTTACTTTCTTATCATTTGTATGTTCACTTGAGTAGCAGTTTTAATTTCTTTCCTTCAAGACCTTTTCCTTTGCTTTCACAACTTGACTAATTGTTGAAAGCAAGAGACCTAGATTTTAGCCCATCTTGGCTTTTGACCTGTCTTCTTCACTAAGCTTAATCATGTCTAGCTTTTGATTTAAAGTGAGAGACAAGTGACTTTACTTAGAGGCCATTGTAGGGTTACTAATTGGCCCAATTTTAATGTTCTTGTGTTCTTAGGGAATAGGGAGGCCTGAGGAGAGGGCGAAAGAGAGAGAGGATGGCTGGTCAGTGGGGCAGTCTGAACATACACAACATCTAACAATAAAGTTGATTGTCTTATATGGGTTCAGTTCATGGTGCCCCAAAACAATTACAACAGTAACATCAAACGTCACTGATCACAGATCGGCATGTAATAGTAATGAAAACGTGAAATATTACAAGAATTACGAACATATGACACAGAGACACAAAGTGAGGACATGCTGTTGGTGAAATGGTGCTGATAGACTTGCTTGGTGCAACCCTTCAATTTTTAAAAAACCACAATATTTGAGAAGCACAACAAAGCATAGCACAATAAAAAGAGGCATTCCTGTTGCCATCTCTACTCAGTTACCAGGAAAGGTAACGAGGAGCAGGTGTTGACATAAGCTCAACCTTAGTGTCCTGACAACTGCAGAGAGGCCCCAAGGGAGGGAGGGACTGTGTTTCTTCAGGGGTTGGTGTGACATGTGATTGTTTCTTCTGTCTCTTAGAGGGCTCACGCATTGACTGCAAACATTTTTCTTTCTGGGATCTGTCACCTCTTTCTTGTCTTGTCTTGGCTTTACTCTTGTCTGTAATTCCCAGCTCCTCTTCTGTCAGGCCTGTGAGCAGGCCATTTCTGCCAGCTGTGTCACCCATCAGGACATGACTCCCATGGTGACTGAGAAGTGGCTGCCAGGTTGTTGCTTGTTCTTGTCTTTCCTAAATTCCTGCCTGCAAGAAATTTCCTAAATGTTTGCTCACTACCATGATAATGAGAGCTCTGCTCTCTGCTGTCTGCTGTCCCTGTTTGGATCATAAGTACTTTCATAAGCTTTTACTACCTTCTTCTGTTTCTGAAGACTGATCATGAACTAAATGTCAAACTTCTTATAATTCAATAGTTTTTCAAAATTAAATAGATTTGTGAGTCACTTGTGTTTCTAATTCTGATTGAGTAGGGTAGTGGTGTTGGTGGGAAACATTGAGCTAAGAAAGGGATCAGATTCTAGAACTTTAGTTCAGTTATGACCCCCAAAGAAGACAATGTCCAGGCAAGGACACTCAAAAATCATGAGTCCCCATACTTGGTCTAAGTCAGGTGCTACATAAGAATGTGAAATGAGATATGAAATAAATTTAATTTTCCATCATCAGTGGGGCTTGGAAGTTGGGATTGTGTGCAGCAGTCTTTCCTGGCTTCTGCAATAGTCTGATTAGTTTCACTTATTTGTGCAAGTAGAATTGTTTTGCACCAGTCATGGTACCTAATGCCATAACTTAACCAAACGGCACCACAAATATCTTCTGGTGAGTACACCGTGTTCTTCAGGGCAAAAGACAATGATTGTTGATTCCATCCAACCTACCCAATTGTATAATTACCAATGGAGGTTTTATTAGAAAGTAGTATTTTGGTTGCTTATAATGGAAACTCTGTTAGACCATCTTAAGGGGAAAAATTAATTTTGGGGCTCATGCAATCAAAGTTTCTAGGTGAATTTAGCTTCTGAAAAATGCTTAGATACTGGACACAAATGGGACCTTTTTCTCTCTTCTCTTTCATTTCCCTCCCTCTCTCTCTCTGACCCTTCTCTCCCCCTTCTGCCCTCATTCCCTTCTGTCTGTGCACTTCTGTTTCATTCTACTCTATATTTCTCTCTGACTGTTTTTCTCTTCCTTTCTCTTCAAATCTCTTTTCTATCTCTGTCTGAAAGACCTCCTCCCCATTAATATATTTGATAGCTTTTCTGTCTTTCTTCGATTTGCATTTCCCCTTATATCCATTTCTCTGAATCGCTGTTTCTTTTTCTCTCTGTGACTCTCTCTTACATATATATGTGTGTGTATATATATAATTTATTATCTGCCTCTTGGGTTGTCTCTCTGTCCACCTCTTTTCCCCCCTTCCATCTCTCTACTGGCCTGTGTGCCTCACTGCCATTTTTTCTCTGTCATTCCATCTGTCCATTGTCTTTTTCTTTGTCTATATTTTATGTTTATGTTGTTTATTTCCCTGCATCTTTCAGTCTTTGTTTCTCTTTGTGTGTATGTATTTCTTTGTCTCTTGCTTGTGTTCTCTGTGTAGGTCTCTTTGAGTTCGGCTTTTTTCCTATTGATTACCCTTATTTTCTCCTATGGAAGTCAAACATTTCCTACATGGCTATGAAGATGGACATCTCATATTTTCAGCTCATCGTCTGAATAGCAACAGATCAAACATGTCAGCTCCATTTTGATAATCTGACGAAAGCTTAGCTTGAGTGGCATTCCAGTTTCTCAACCAATCACTTTAGCCATGGGATGTGGGACTCTGATTAACCAGGCCTTATATTTGAACCCACTTCTGTGTCAGGAATACAGATTTTCTTTTTCCTAAACAAAGATGGAAAAAGACCAAGGCTGGATAGGTCATAATAGTAGTGGCAATAAAAATAATAACTATCATAATCTATTATACAAGGCTCTTATATATGAAGTCTCTCTCCCTCTTTCTCTCTCTCTCTGTTTCTCTCTGTTCCTTTTCATATTAAAAAATTCAGAAGATGCTCCCTTTTAGTATAATATATGTAGTTCTTATACAACTGAAGCTTCATTTGTCCCATTCTAAAATGAGAAAATCCCAAATTATAAAAACCTCCAACTCCAGGAACTCTGGTGATATGAATTTCTCCTTAACTGCTTTGAACATGGCTCTTATTGGTCCTACAAACTATGATGAAATAATAGATAAATCCACCTTCAATACAGGTGGAAATAATAACATAACCACAATGAAACCATAATCAACGATCACTTCTGCCCAATGTGATGAGATATTGAAAAGCTAGGTGAAATCTGTTGCCCGCTGCTGTTTCATGGGGATGTAATCTCTTATGGAGAAAGAATGAGTCACTAGGACCCAAATGCAAAAGCAGCTGGAGTTATGTAACAGGGCACTCCTCACACACAGTCCCCAACATGTGTCTGCTACTACTGTCTATTTTGGAGGGAGTCATCAAGGAAAATATGGTTGGCAAAATTAGGGCAGATATCAATATCATTTGAGATTTGTCATGTCCATGTGAGTCTCTTTTGTTATGAACATTTTCAGGTATAGATCCCCAAGATGCTCTGTTATTAAGGTTTTCTAATGAGGAGTCAATAGCAGCTTAGCTCTTGGAGTCCTGCCCCTATTTAAGGTTTAAATAATCAGATTGGACAGTTATGAAATACTAGATCCTACCTATCTATGACTTCAGATGTGTGGGAGTATCTTGCCTTTAGCTTCTTCCACACTTTTTAGTTTACATCACTGGTTTTATTTAATAAAAGAAATAACAGAAAGGCATCAGGGGAAGGAGGAATTATCCTTGATTTGTCACATTCTCAACTTCCACATTCAGCCAGTTGGTGAATTCTATCAATTAAATGATAAAATATTTCTCAACCTAGTCCATTTTATTCATCTTCTTTGTAGCCACTTGACTTTAACATACTGCCGTATTCCTCCTGAATTGTTGAAATAGCCTCCTACCCCATCGCCCTACTTCCTTCTTGATTCCTACAGTTCATTTTCCACACAACTGCTAGAAATGTTTATAAAACTTAATCTATACCACATCTGTATCATGATTAAACACCTCACATGTTTTCTTATAGCATCTAGAATTAAACCTAGATTTCTTACCTGGCTAATCAAATCTTCTGCCTGGCTAATAAAATCTTCTGTGATCTGCTCTTTGCCCTTACTACTGAGTTCACTGTCTACCTTTTAACTGTCTCATTTTATTAGTTTGGGTAACACCAGCTGCTATACGGAATAAAGATAAAAATTTCAGGGGACTAGCTAAATAGACATTCTCTTCTTATTCACATAACAGTCCATTGCCAGATTGCTAATAGCCTAGATATTTTTCTCCACATAGTGACTCAGGAACCCAGGCCCTTCACATGCTGTGATTCTGCTCTTTTACTGGACTTTCTGCTCTCTGCTTCCAATGATGAAAGGCAAAAGAGAGAGGGTGGAGAAGGCACACTTATTACTTAATTCCTTGGTGTGCCAGCAACACACTTCACTTTCAGTCACATTTCATGATGAGAACTAGTGATGTGACCCCACCTAGATGAAAAAGCGTGAAAGTGGAGTCCTTACTTGGACTGCCATTTCTGAGCAATATCACTAAGCAGCAGGAGGAGGAGTGCACAAATTTTGGTGGAAATCCAGCCATCTCTGCCACTGACCTCATTTCTGTTTTTTTAACATTTCAGGTTTAGTCTACGTTAGGATGGTTCCTTCTGCCCGGAATATTTCTTTTCCTGATTGTTACATGTACATTGTCTTATTTCTAGCTCCTTTATGTTATTTTTGTTTCAGCTTAAATATAACCTAAGAAAAGATTTTCCTGATGACCAAATTTGGAGTTGCCACTCAGTTATTCTTAGTTAAATATTAATTTTCTTCATATCAGTTATCACATTTGTGAAAGCCATATATTCAATTGCAAGACCTGGTAGTTGAACAATTATTTTTAAAAGTCAATTGCAGTTGAGAATAATTAGAATGATTTGTAAATATATAATGTGGTAAACATTTTATTTTAACTTAAGTAAATACATGTATACATGTATATTTGTTTGGCAGTATGTTGACATAGAACCAAACCTTCACTTGGAAAATGTGTCTGTTGTTTAGAGTTTTAGGTTATCTTAAATGCCTAAACAACACCCATAACAAACTTTCTATCATATCAAATTTTAGTTTTTTAAAAAGTTTATGAGAATTTAGAGTGAAACATTACAAAGAATTCTGAATTTAGAAACACTTTAGATTTTCACCTCATTTTCTCCATTTTAAAAGTTATTTTACCTATATCCAATTTAATAATATTTTATTAGACAACTTATCTTTATTATTTCCAAAGCATTTAATGGTTTAAGAACTTAAAATTTCCCTTTTAAAATTCATTCTTAATTCATAATGAAATATTTACTTTATTTAAATATATGATTACAATAACAAGTCAATAGAGATGAACAGATTTGTGAGCAAACGCCAGCAACTTTTGGCAAACGTTAAACTCAACTAATGGAAGCAGAAATATACAGGAAGGCCAAAGAACAGCTGTGAGCTGTTGGCATGTCACGGGCATCAGCTTGTTTACTGAAGAAATGAAATATGCCAGTTAAACCCCAACAAATCAGTTCAATGAAATTGTCTATTCTACCTGGTCATTTTGTTTTCACTTAATTGATCATAATATAAACATATAATCTCTTATTTTTCTGGTCTCTGTCAATCTATTGATCTACAATTATTATCTATCATTATCATTTATTCATCTATTTATTTAGAGTATAAAATCAAAAGAGAGACCTTGTCTATTTTGTTCAACAATATTCTAAGTACCTAGAACACTGCCTGGTATACAGTAGGTGCTTAATAAATATTTGCTGGTTGACTACATGATGACTTTTTCTTCAGGAATTCACCTGTCTCTCAAATCTTTCGTCCTTTCTTGGGAAAGTTTTGGTACTGCTGTGCCAATATCACACATTATTATTTTATAATATACTTTGATATCTAGGGTGTCCTCTTCCTCATTCTTGATTTTCCTTTGCAAAATTTTCTTGGCTATTTTTGTCCATTGACACATATATGGTGGTAGTGGTGGTAATATTTTCATAAGGCAGAATTCCATCATTATTATTCAGTATTAACTTTTGTGTTTTCCACATTTCCCTTTTATGAATATGAAATGATGTTGTTTAAAATGGTAGTTTAAAAATCTTCAATATTGTATTTTCTACAGAAATACAATGCTTTATCATACAAGACCTTCAAATCAACAATCTCGCTACACACTCTTATCAATTGCATAGTCTACCTTTGAAATTATTTTGTGTATTTCTTTTGTACTTAGTTATAACATCTGCTAAAAATGATAGCGTTTCTTTCTCTTCAAACTTTATAGCTTCTTCTTTTTCTGTCTGTACTGCATTGGAAGGGACATACAATAAACACCTAGTAGATGTTATAGCTGCCATTTTTGTTTTGTTTTTGAGCCCACCGGATATGCCAATATTGAAGTTCTTATTCTAAGACTTTGTCTTAGGTTTTTAATGCCAGAAACAAGAGAAAATAATTACTATCTAATTTCTATGAACCAGGGAAAACATGTCAAGAAGAGATGGGTTCTCTATGGTATCCTATTCATTACTCAAAATGTAAGTTTTATATGGATTTCAAATATAGCTAACTCTTTGATGTTGCTCAAGTCTTCCATTCTGTTCTGGTTCTCCATGAAAAAATAAAGAGGCAATCAGTTACCCATTGGGACTCAGTGTGCTGAACGAAAATTCCCAAGAAGAAGATCAATTTCAGGGGCAATTGGGAGGAGGGTCTTCGTGTCTTGGCCTTGAGGGTGAAGATGCTGAGGACTCCCTCTGATCAAGGTAATAAATGATCACTGAAAACAGACACAAACCCAGAATCCATATTCCTACATATAGTGCCAACTAGAGTAGGAGTTCAAGTCACAATTTATTTATTTATTACAGAAGAGGGTGTTGAATTGCCATCAAAAAGGTTTTTTATTCTGTCTGTTCAAGTGGTAGACATGGAGTATTGAATAGCTACAGAGAACAAAATTTACCTTAGTTGATTTTGAGCGGAAAGGAGTTTATTACAGACCTTAATATAGCTTAGAGAATCATCAGGACAATAGAAGGAACTGAATCAGGCAACCAAGGAAACCACCTCCTCTTCTACAATCAGGAACTCATGCTGCCCAGAACAGCCATATTTGGGAAGCTCCTCCATTCAGTAAGCCCCCACGATCACCTGCTACAATCTGCACCAGTAACAGACACCCTGCATGCTGCCTCTTTATATCCATGAAGTCAGTTATCAGACATGAAAATCTCTCCTAATTCTGACACAGAAAATAAGGCACCCCTACACTGGTGCCTTTTCAGGTCAAAAAAAAAAAAAAAAAAAGACCTTCAGCATGTCCAGAATTTACCAGAATGCCTCTAATTGGCTAAATCTAAATGACATCAAATGCTATCCAGGAAATGTTCTTTTCATTTGCACATCTTTTGCAGTACAGGAGAAATGCACCAGAAGAGGTTGAGAGGTATGTTGCATGACAATCCACTACATATGGGAATAGGGACACTCAAACCTTCTCCTGCATTTTTCTTAGTAACACAATTTCCAGATCCAATCCTCTGCAGTGGAAACTAGGAGGGATGGCCTCATTACAGAATAGATAATGTACATGTCAATAATTTTTAGGCCCAATAGACCTTTTCTACTTAATATACCACCACCACCAACAACAATTTTTTGTTAATCCAGTGCCAAGGAGAAATAATTGACATGCCTGTCTCTTATTCCATATTTTAAGCTATTTTTATGGCTTGCTTTCTTTAATGAATGGTAAGCTCATTATCTCTTTTTAATCTTTCAAGTCATAGGCTTTGGTTTCAGTCTAGAGAAGCCAGCATTACCACAATGTCCCTTTCAGTCGGCTGTGGCCAGGAAGTTTCCAGAAAATCACAGGGCAATCCGAGTAGCTCTTCTACAATGTGTTTTTCTCCATGGTTTTACTTATTCCACAATATAACATTCTTTTTGCCGCTCAGTAAACTTAAGTACACTAACTCCCTATCTGTTTCTCTAATATGCAGATTTGTTTCTTCATTAGCAGTTTTCACTTATGTTCTTGCTGTGTGGAGTGGTTTGCTATAGATTTTGAATAGCTGGCTTTTTATTAGCATTCAGGTCTCTTTTCAAATAGAGTATTTCTAGAGTAACAATTTCTAGTCACTCAACCTAAAGAAGTTCCCTCCAATCACTCCCAATTACTTTTGTTTTTCTCCTCAGAGAGCACTCATTACTATATGATAATCATTCTTCATTTATTTGATTTCTTTGATAGCAGCAACCTTATTTGTCTCATAAAACACTGTCTCTCTAACTTAGATTATTACATAGCCTGTATTAGATAATAATATAAACAAAACCCATATAAATTAATCATTAGTACATTAATCTCCATTTTAGTCAGATGACACTGAACTAATCATATAGTAATTAATACACATGCTAAATAAGTAACTACTTCTATTTCAAGCTCTATCTCTTCTTTGTCACACTATCATGCCCTAGTTTCAAATTGTGTAGCAGATTTAGCCTCCTTCCATCCCCAACCATGATCCTAGCTTTCCACACAACCATGACTCAGCCCCAACTCTACCTAAATCCTTAGTGCCAAGCAGCCTCTTATCATCCCTACTTGTCTTTCGAACCAACCACACTTGGATAAGAGTTACCTCCATACCAAAGTAAAACCCAGTGTAAATAAGCCCCTTTCAAACACACACACACACACACACACACACACACACACTTGGCTTTACAAACAAGATCCCAAACCTTTTCCTTTCATGGTTGGAAGTTTGAAATAATGTAAATAAGCAATTCTGCTCTAATTTCCCTTCATCCTCAGTATCAAACGGAAACCAAACCAAAACAAGTCAAATTACCACAAAAGACAAAAATCTTTACATTAAAAGAGTAATTAATAATAAACACTTTAATATATTCTTTAAATAAGAGAAATCTTCATTTCATCATGTTGGCAATCCTAGTGAAAAGCTGTACTCAAAGTTTAAAAGAAAATTATTTTTTAAAAGACTTCTTGATTTCAGCATCAAGTGTAAAAGGCAAAACCTTGTAAAATTATAAGATTTTTATTTAAACATGAACAATTAGCCAATAAAAGAATCTTTTCCTTATGAATATGAAATGGGGTACAGATTATTGGAGCAACCCTTTTTCTTTATGATATGAGTCATAATTAAAAAATAAACTGCAGTTTATATGGTTTGGCTGTGTCCGCACCCAAATCTCATCTTGAACTGTAGTTCCCATAATTCCCACGTGACTTGGGAGGGTTCCAGTCAGAAGTAATTGAATCAGGGGAGTGGGACTTTCCCATGCTGTTCTTGTAATAGTCTCACAAGATCTGATGGTTTTATAAATGGGAGTTCCCCTGAACAAGCTCTCTCTTGCCTGCTGTCATGTAAGACATGCTTTTGCTTCTCCTTTGCCTCCCACCATGATTGTGAGGCCTCCCCAGCCATGTGGAACTATGCGTCCATTAAACTTCTTTCCTTTATAAATTACCCAGTATTGGATATGTCTTTATTAGAAACATGACAACAGACTAATACAGCAGTTATCTCATGGCAGTTTATTAGGAATATCTTATTAGAATATGTTAAACATCTTCTCACACTATTAGTTCCTGTGAGGTCTGATTGTTAAAAAGAGCCTGGAACCTTCCTCCTCTTTCTCTTCCTTCATCTCTCGCCGTGTGGTATCTGCACATGCTGGCTCCCCTTCTTCTGCCACAAGTGGAAGCACCCTGAGGTCCTCATCAGATGCAGATGCTGGTGCCATCCTTCTTGTACAACCTGAAAATCATTAGCCAAATAAACTTTTCTTTATTAAAAAAGAATATATTGAACATCTAAACTGATGCAATGTAATAAAACATATTTAATTTAATCCTATCATCATTTTTTCTTTTCAGTGTGTTCTTTGGGGTTAGCCAATTCCTTACCTTGAATGAGCATTCAGGAAGTCTTCATAACCTCTCTGATAATGTTTAAGTAAAAAAAGAAAGGTATTCAATTAGTCCCATTCAATAGTCAAATTTCTATATTTTATTCAAAACTGAGGCCTCACACTCTTGCCTATTCAAGAGTGTTGCAGATGAGAAGCTCACAAACAGTGAAGGTGCAAAATTAGCTTCTTTTGTTTCTACAGCTTGTGCTTCTATTTCTTCTACTTGATATAGTTTCAGACCCCTGTGAGTTGAGGCATGAAGAGCAGAAGAGGACAGTTTTTACTTGCCTGATACTTCATGTGCTTGAATTGAATGCTCTAGGGAAAACAGATGCATAAGAAGACTCTATTGTGAACATTTTCATGAATTCTTTGAGAATCCACACTCCCGTAGTTCAGAGCCCGGTGAGGGCTACTGCATCTCCATTCTCATGGAATTCTCAGTCACTAGGCACTCTGGAATACTAGCAGCCTCTTTCTTCTATGATCTGTTTCTCTTGGAGGCTGCCTTGAGATACTAAGACAAGCAGACCCCAGACCTTTCCCTTACTTTTGGTCTATGTCGATTGCCAAGGAAAGATGAATCTCTTTCCTTCTGGAAGTCAGGCAAATCCTAGTGTAGCTACTTGTTCTTTTCTCTGCTTGAAAATGGTACGTGAGTGCTAGGAAGGCAAGAGTGTGGTCCCTTTAAATGATAGGGAAGCAGGGAGCAGAAGTGCTGGGTAGAGGAGGGTATGGTCCCTGGCTAGGGCTCCATCCCCACGGACCTAGGTGAGAACAGGCATTCCCTGTCCAAATGTTGCATTTCCCAAGACCACTCTGGCCTGCCATGCCCCATCCTGTGCCTATAAAAACCTGAGACCCTAGCAAGGCAGGGACAGAAGCTGCTGGACGTTGAGAGAGAGCACATCAGCAGAGGAACACACCCACTGGGGCTTCAGGAGCTGTAAACATTCACCCCCAGACACTGCTGTGGGATCAGAGCCTCACAGCCTGACCATCTGTATGCTCCCCTGGAGGTCTGAGCAGCGGGCACTGGAGAAGAGAGCCACATCGCACTCCCTGCAAGGGGAACAAGGGAATTTTTTCTGTTTCAAAAACATGTAGCTAAGTTGACTCTTGGACTTCAGCATTCTTCAGCATACCCCAGGTACCAATCTACTGAATTGTCCAAACTCTGGAATATGTATGTACATTAAACTCTCCAAGAGGTCTTTTCATAAGAAGGTTTTTAAAATTTGAAATTCATTATTCACTAAAAATATTTTTGGCTGGGCGTGGTGGCTCACACCTGTAATCCCAGCACTTTGGGAGGCTGAGGCAGGCAGATCACCTGAGGTCAGGAGTTCGAGACCAGCCTGGCCAACATGGTGAAACCCTGTCTCTACTAAAAATACAAAAATTAGCCAGGTGTTGTGGTGCATGCTTGTAATCCCAGCTACTTGGGAGGCTGAGGCAGGAGAATCACTTGAACCTGGGAGGCAGAGGTTGCAGTGAAATGAGATTGCACCACTGCACTCCAGCCTGGGCAGCAGAATGAGACTCTGTTTAAATATATATATACATATATACATATGTGTGTATATATATATTTGAGAAAACTGCTTTGTGCCAGAAAGTGTTGGAGGTACTAAAGATACAACAGAAATAAGGCAGAAAAAATTATTCCTGTCCTCATGGGACGTATATTTTAGTGGTGCAGGAACAGATCATAGACAACATTTTAAAAGGTACATTAGTTAGTGTATTAGTCATCTGTTGTCACAACAATGCTGCATTACAAACAACACAAATCACCAGTGGCAGATAACAATATGCTTATATGTCTGGGTCAGCTAGGTGGCACTGCTAACCTTGGCCAAGCTCACCTATGTATCCAAGGTGGACTCTTCTTCACATGCCTCTCATCCTCTTCTTAGGGCCGGTGGACTTGCCTAGAAATGTCCTTATGGCAATGCAGAAGCAAGCAAAATGTTAGCTCCAATACATACGCCAATTTCAAGGCCCAGAGTGTGTGACATTTGCTAATAACTCCTTGGCTGTAGAGGAACACATGGTTAGGCCTAATGTTGAGAGGCAATTCAAGTCACCCATCCATAATGGGAGAGCATAGTAAAGTTAGATTGCAAAGGGCGTGGATATAGGGAGGGATGATGAATTAGGATCATCATCATAATCTATTAGAGTCCACTTTTATTGCTACAATTTTTCATATTCTTCCAATATGAAAAATATGCTTACCCCTAATCTGGGATCACCAGAAGTCTCATGCAATCATGGCATCAGCCATCAAGTTCAAAATCTCACAATCAGGATGCAGGTCAGAATGCAGTTCTCCTTAATCCAGAAACATACTGATAGAGCTGGAGCCCTGTCATCTCGGACAAACACCGCCACTTTAAATTCCAGCTCCCTTTCTAGCCTCATGCATTTCAAGGAAATCACTTCTCTTCTAACTACAAATAGCCAGAAAGAGCAGACAGTAAAACACAGATAAGAGAGTTTGGGCACAGAGAAAGGTTGGGGGAAGGTCCCCTGGGTAACTGCCAAACTTCACCCTCATACAATGGGCCCTAAAACAGTGGGCCTTAATAAGCACATTCCTTTCCCTTCAGGTGCACTAAGATAGGGAAGCTAAAAGCAGACTCTGGGGATATGCCTGCAGCTGCAAAAAAGATGTATGGGAACAGACACACAACTCTCCCTCCTAGATAAGCACAACAAAGAGACACAGAAGCAGTCCAAGCCTTGGATAAACTCTCCCACTCTGAATCCTTAAAAAACTTAGTCTATAAGAGAGCGTGCCTCTGACCTAACTCGGCCAGAAGGCGCCTCTCAGGTTTGTTTTCTCTAAAATAAGTGTGCCGTGACTGGTGAGCCACCTTTTCATGTGTTTCTTTCCTCTTTCTTTCTCTTTCTTTCTTTTTCTTTCTTTCTTTCTTTTTCTTTCTTTTTTTTTTTTTTTTGTTTGTTTTGAGATGGAGTCTCACTCTGTCGACTGAGTGCAGTGGCGCCACCTCGGCTCACCACAACCTCTGCCTTCTGGGTTCAAGTGATTCTCCTGCCTCAGCCTCCTGAATAGCTGGGATTACAGGCGTGTGCCACCATACCTGGCTTATTTTTTGTATTTTTAGTAGAGACACACGGTTTCACCGTGTTAGCCAGGATGGTCTCCATCTCCTGACCTCATGATCCACCTGCCTCAGCCTCCCAAAGTGCTGGAATTACAGGCCTGAGCCACTGCGCCCGGCCTCCTCTTTCGTTAATTCTAAGACATACAAGCCACAACAATAGAAACAAAGTTGTCTTTCCATCAGCACTCAATACACAGTGCTGAAACTGGGTCAGGATAATGATAGTAAACATGCCCATTCAAAAACGGAAAGAATGGGGGACTTAACAGTCACTGATCCCTGGCAATTCTGAAATTCCACTGAACAAATGCTGCCTTGCACATCCCCTCTAGGGGTGGACAATATTCCTTGGTTAGCCCCTGACTCCTTTCCTTGGGAGTTTCTCATTAGTCTACCTGTCCTCAGAATTCTGTGCTCTTCCCTTTGAAAAGTACTTCCTTTTCTGTTTCCCTCCTTGGCCACCTTTAAAGAGCACATAGGATGATCGGCACTTTGAACAACTTTCTCAGCCTGTTTCTTTTACATAGAGAGTTGCAGATCCATTGCCCTTTTACATTTTAAACCTCAGTCTCTTTCAGTCCAGACTGGTGGCAGTTTTACCAATACAGCTGAATAAAAAATGTTGTGAGCTTTTTATATATTTGATCCCATGATACTCTGAATGCCAACAGCCTCACCAACAATTTTTTGGGAGACACAAAGCTCTTTCTAGACTTAATCACTTAGCACAAAAGAGCTTTAAATTAACTCTATTTAACCATATATTCATAAATATCAAGGAATATATAGTAAAGAAAAAGATTTACAATCTAAAAAAGAATATGAATGTGGAATCTTTTAGATACGGAATCTAAATAAAAGAAATCAGAGTACATCATCTAAAATTAAAACTTAATGGGTGAATTTAACAGCAGACTGGTCACAGGCAAATGCAGTAATAGTTAACTTGAAGACAGTTTAATAGAAAGCATCTACTCTGAAGCATAGCACAAGATAAAATGAAGAAGAAAGATATCAGCATCAGAGACATGTAGGCATTATCTAATGGTCAAATATACTTACAATTGTACATAAAAATAAAGGATAAAGAGTGCAGCAGAGAAAACAAAAAGATAATGGCAGAAAATTTTCCAAAACTGATTAACGATGTCAAAACACAGATACAAGAAACTTATCAACCTCAATCATAGACTAGTGAAATAAAACCATATGTAAAAAAAAATAATAAATTGCTCAAAACCAAAGATAAAGAGAAAATGTTTAAATCAGCCAGAGACGAAAGTGTCTTGTCTTTGGAAAAAAAGAACAAAAAAGGTTAAGGCTGACTTTCAATAGAAACTTTGGAATCTGGAGGAAAATGGAATGAAACCTTAAAATACGCTAAGAAAACTTCTACCCCTAACACAAACCTAGAATTCTAAAATCAGAAAAACATCCTTCAGCAACAAAGCTGAAGAGGATCTTTCTGTGACGGCCAAGTTGGAATAAGCCCACTATAGTCTGTATCTTACACTAATTATAATGGGAAACATCAGGCAGAATATAAAAGGCAGCTATCTGTGGACCTTGAAAAGTACAAAATAGCATGAATATTAGGGAGGGAAGTCAGAACTTGGAGAAATAATAGTAAGGGAGTGAGTTCCTAGGGTTTTTCCTCTTTTGTCTCCTGGCTTTGACTTGAAGGTAACTCCAGACATGTAGTGTGCAGTGAGAGCAGAGAGAAGAAACTCCAAGAGACACCTCCTCTTTCTGTACAGATTGCAAAGGGGGTCTCCAGAGAGTGTGTGGAGCAATATTCCTTTTTTGGAACTTTACTTCTTTTTTCACTTCTAGTTCTTCCCTGAGTGTGGTCAGAATCAGGAAGCTGTACTAAGGCTGCTGTGGTGGAACCATCAAAAACTCTGAAAGAAACATCCCAAAAGAACTAGGGAAAAGGAACCCTGTGGCCTAAGGAATATGGGGTATTTCCCTTTATATTTTTGCTCAATTTTCTCTTCCCACTTTGCCTCAAGGGAAGCCCCAGTTGTGCAGAATCACATGACAATACTTTGAGAGAAACCAACCTTTCTGGCCAGAGGAACCGGTAAGAGGGACCTATGGGACCTGGAGAGTGTGGGAAAAATCTCAGAGGAGAGAGTGAGAGAAAGGGATCCCTAATTCTATACATGAACCATCATAACTCTCAGGGTCTTGGGCTCCCCAAGCCGCACGAGGGGGACAGTTTCACACCAGCATATCAAAGCCATTAGGAGCTGAACTATGATACAAATATCACAGTCCTAGTGCCAGACTAGTGGCTGAGAGGCCCAGGCACAGGGCAGGCACGAACAGCATGGCAAAGTCTTTGAAAACTATAATGACGTTAGAACTACGGCGCACAGAAAGCGAGATACAGCTTGCATTCTAAACTTGATGAGATTAGTTCTTGCTAAAACAAAAAATTCAACCTTCTCCTAGAATTTTAATGGGACCCAGAGCTCACAGTGTAATACAATCATGCACCACATAACGACAGTTCAGTCAAGGAAGGAACATATATAAGTTGGTCATCACGAGATTATAATGGAGCTGAAAATTTCCTATCCCTATATAATAGCCATTGTAACATTGTAGCATAATGCATTACTCACAAGTTTGTGGTGATGCTGGCGCAAACAAATCTCCTGTGCTGCCAGTCACATAAAAGTATAGCAATACAATTATGTACAGTACACAATACTCAATAATGACAACAAATGACTACGGTACTGGTATATGTATATACTATACTATACACTATATAGACGCCCTCTTTTTTCAACCATTATAAGATCTAGTCTTTGTTTCGGAGGACTGCACCAGCTAAGTGCATTTTATTGTTATTTTAGAGTGTACTCTTCCTTATAAAAAGAAAATTAACCATAAAACAGCCTCAGGTAGATCCCTAAGGAGGTATTCCTGAAGAAAACATTGTTATCATAGGAAGTGACAGCTCCATGTGTGTTTGTGTTATTGCCCCTAAAGGCCTTCCAATGGGACAAAATGGGAAAGTGCAAGACAATGATATTGATGATCCTGACCCTGTGTAGGCCTGAGCTAACGTGTGTGTTTGAACCTTAACTGTTTAGAAAAAAAAAAGTATAAAAAGTAAAAGGTTTAGAAAAAAGTTTAAACAATAAAGATATAGAGAAAGAAAATACATTTGTATAACTCTAAGTGTGTTTGTGTTTTAAGCTAAGTGTTATTACATGAGTCAAAAAGTTTATAATAATTCAGAAAGTTTATAAAGTAAAAAGGGTACACTAAACTAAGGTTAATTCATCATTGAAGAAAGACTTTTTTTCTGTAATTTAGTGTAGGCTGTGTACAGTGTTTACGAAATACTTAATGGTGTACAATAAAGGCCTAGACCTTCATTCACTCACCACTCACTCGCTGATTCACCCAGAGCAACTTCCAGTCCTGCAAGCTCCATTCATGATAAGGGCTCTATACAAGTGTACGAGTTTTTATCTTTGACAATTTCACAACACAATATAAAACAATTTGCTTAGATCCAGATTTGTTTTAGTCAATGTAAAATTCAAGAGAAAACAATTTTGATTAAGCTACTCAAAACCACACTTTCACATTCATGCCTTTTTCAATGCTTATCTGCAGGGGTGAAATCTGGACCAAACATATCCTTCTGAGCTGCAGGATACAAAAGCCTTATTTATTATTTTTAATTCTCTATTTTGCCACTTTCTGTAACTCACTATACCAATAATTCACTTCCCCTCTCTCTTTATTTTCTTCTCAGGGTATTTTGTTTTTCCATGAAATACCTACTTCTTCCTCATTGTCTTGCTTTGTGTCATACACAAGAGGCCTACCACATTCAATTTCCAATCTTTACTAACTTTGATATATATAACTTGCCACAAAACATCACTGGTGATGTTCTTGTTGAGGCTTTGCCACCATAAAACTTCTTCACAAAGAGTCCCATGGTTCAAAAGAAGATATTTTTGCTATTTTTCTCTATCCTGCTCATACACATATGCCTCATATAACCTTTTAATCTTGAACTTAGACTAGGTCCTTTAATGAAGTTGCTATGGAGCAGAATCACCATAATTCTTAACAACAATTAATTTTTTCCCTAAAGTCCACATCTTTGAAGGGAATTGGATCTTAAATTTATATTAGTAAAAAGGATCTTCACCTCTCTTAAATTTAAATACCTCATATGTCTTGAAAGATAAATTTCTCAGAGTAAATTCAATTTGTATTTCTTATCCTGGATTTCTATCCAGAAGAGCAATCAACAACTTGTATTGCTATTCTTCAGCTCATGATTGAAGAGTAAGATTTTCATAATTGAGGATTTAATAGTAGCGTTTCTTTTAGACTGACACATAACTTAAGCACAGAGTTGCATAAACATGTATATAGAGTTTAATAAATAATTAATGACACAGACTAAAAAGCTTATCCAGCTTCCCAGAAGCCCTGTGTGTGCACCTTCTACCTACCATCTTTCCCTTGGAGGAAAACATTACTCTGATTTTGTGCTAATTATTTACTTTTTAAAAATGTGTGTATGGTCTTAAATTTTATATAAATAAAATAATGTATTGGATTTGTTTCTTTCCTTTGATAAATATTGCTTTTACGAGATTCACCACTTTTTTTATGTGTAGTTGTGCATACACACGTTAGGATGGCTATTATTCAAAAGGAAAAAAGAGAATATAAGTGTTGCTGTGGATGTGGAGAAATTGGAACCCTTGTGCCTTGCTGGCGGGAATGTAAAATGATGCAGCTGTTGTGGAAAAAGGTAGAGTCATAACTCAAAAACTTTAAACATACAATTACCATATGATGCCATGATTCCACTTCTGGTCATATACCCAAAAAAACTGAAAGGAGAGACTTGAACATACATTAGTATACCCATGTTCATAGCACAAACGTTAATGGTAGCCAAAAGGTGAAACAAACAAACAAACAAATCTCCATCAATGGATGCCTGGAAAAGCAAAATGTGGTATAAACATACAATGGAATATTATTCAGTCTTAAAAAGGAAGGAAATTCTGAAAATATGCTATAACTCAGATGAAATGTAAAGACATTATGTGAAGTGAAATAAGCCAGTCACAAAAAAGGCAGATATTGTATGATTCTACCTTATGAGACCACCTTGAGTGATCAAACAGAGACAGAAAGTAGAATGGTGGTCACTAGTGGCTGGGAGGAGGAGGGAATAAGGAGTTGTTTATGGTTACAGAGTTCCAGTTTGGGATGAGGAAAAGTTCTGGAGATCTGTGGTGGTTATTGTGTACAATAGTGTGAATATATTTAATGCCACTGAACTGTACACTTAAAAAGGTGAAAATGATGAGTTTTAGTTTATTTATATTTTCCCACAATTAAGGAGAGAAGGAAGGAAGGAAGGAAGGAAGGAAGGAAGAAAGAGAAAGAAAGAGAGAGAGAGAAAGAAAGAAAGAGAGAGAGAGAGAAAGAAAGAAGGAAAAGAAAGAAAGAAAATAAAGAAAAAGCTTAATGCTTAGAATTGGTGTAAAGATGTATAAGACTAACAAGTTTAAGCAAAAATGATGTTCAGTGTAAGCCACACTTGGTTCCCAGAGTTTGGGCATTGAAACTGGAGTCCCAAGTACAGATTATATAAGTCATACCCTTAGATAACATTATTTGAGGCCTATGTATGCCATAAAATAGGTCTAAGTGTTTTATATGTATTACATCATGGGTCCTCTCAACAACCTACTTTGTGGTTACTAAAGGATTACATTGCATGTAAATATAAAATACTATATTAATGAAATCTTAGTTAATCTACAAAGTTCCACAAAA
Source organism: Homo sapiens (assembly GCF_000001405.40). NCBI lineage: Eukaryota > Metazoa > Chordata > Mammalia > Primates > Hominidae > Homo > Homo sapiens. The sequence continues at coordinate 4,122,740 of NT_113891.3, read as the reverse complement.
TAAAAACAGCCTAAATTGTAATGTTGTCAATAATCATAATTTATGAGCTTGAGCACGGAGTAAATTTAGATTGTGTTTTTACTACCACCAAATGATGCACATCCATTTACCTAGTTCACGGTCTCTATCTCTCCTTTCTCATTTATGTTAATCCAAATAGTGATACACACAGTGTTATGCAGCCATAAAAAATGATGAGTTCATATCCTTTGTAGGGACCTGGATGAAATTGGAAACCATCATTCTCAGTAAACTATCGCAAGAACAAAAAACCAAACACCGCGTATTCTCACTCATAGGTGGGAATTGAACAATGAGATCACATGGACACAGGAAGGGGAATATCACACTCTGGGGACTGTGGTGGGGTCGGGGGAGGGGGGAGGGATAGCATTGGGAGATATACCTAATGCTAGATGACACATTAGTGGGTGCAGCGCACCAGCATGGCACATGTATACATATGTAACTAACCTGCACAATGTGCACATGTACCCTAAAACTTAGAGTATAATTAAAAAAAAACAAAAAACAAAAAAAAAACAAAAAAAAAACAACCTGAAAAAAAAAAATTACCTTCAGGCTGCTATATGTATAAAGTGTATATAAAACATAAATGCATAAAAAAAAAAAAGAGTTAAAGAAAGAGGAAAGAAACACAAAAAGTGGCTCAACAGTCAAAGACAGGTTTATTTTGGAGAATAAACCTGAGAGGGCTTCTGGCTGATTTCAGTCAGGAGCCCTCTCTCTTACAGACTAAGAGTATTTAAGGGTTTGGGGCGAAAGGCTTGAATGTTTCTGTGTGGAGAAGAAGTTTATTGTGGGGTTGGAATGTCTCTGGTTGGAGGGGAGGTTATCTTGGGGTTGGCATCTCTCCGGTCAGAGGGGAGGTTATCTTGGGGCTGGTATGTCTCTGGTTGGAGAGGGGTTTATCTCAGGGTTGGAATGTTTCTGGGCAGAGGTATCATTTGTGGTTTAAGGTCATGCTGCCATTAGCCATTAGGCTGATGCCCTTTGGGTTGGATTTAGGTGGCTTTTGATCAAGGGGAACTTTAAAATGGTGGTGCATGTCCAAAATGGCGATGCTCCTGCTCTGTCAATCCAGATCCTATAGTTATAAAAGGATGAGGATGGTGTGTTCTTTCTGGCTAATTCCTGCTGAGGGGGGTGTGGAGAGTTTTCTGGTCTCAGATTGACTGTAGGAGTAATGCCGTCTGTAGATGTTTTTGGGTAGTTGTCTGTGAAATGGCCATGATCCTGTTGGTTAAAAATCTTTGGAAAAGATTAATTAGGCAGGGTAAGAAAGTTAGTCCTAGGCATATCATTAGGAGAGGGCCCAGGAATGGGGTGACTCATGCTATGATTTTGTTCCCAAACTAAGAATCTATTTGGTTGTGTTGGTATTCCCTTAGCTTTTCAGCCCTTTCTTTAAGTTTTTCGGCAGCATCTCTTACTACGCCCGACTGGTTGAGATAGAAACAACTTTCCTCACCCAGTTAGAGGCAGATGCCCTCTCTTTCAACCATTATAAGATCTAGTCTCTGTCTGTTCTGGAGGACTGCACCAGCTAAGGAGTCTAGTTGGTCTTGGACTCTTACAAGGCTTCAGGCTATATCTTCTAGAGATCCCTGTAGTTCTGTTGAAAGAACCTTAAAGTATGTGGCTAATCCACCTGCTCCCTCTCTAAGTCCAGAGGTTATACCCAAGGCAGCCATTAAGGAATGATGTGGATGGCTCTCCTTTTCCTAACATATTGGATGGATGGGATAGACAAAGGTTGATTAGGAGGAGCTAGTCCAATGGAAGGAGAAAGATAAACTAGAGAACAGGTTCCGGTCCGGTTGGTGGGGAGACAAAGATATGTGTTGGTGCCACACAAAAAGAACAAGCCTTCATCGTAAATACAGGCAGAGATATGGAAAGAGAATAAGTGTGTTAAAGATTGGATGTTGTTTCTTTCCTGCAGTTCCTTACTCCAGATGGACAAGGAGGAGGCCAGGGAGACATCCACTATAGTAGAGATATAGCAAGAGTTGTTTTTTACACGTTTAATGTGATCGGATGTTGCATCATTGATATTGAGCCATGGAAAAAGGTAGGAACCAGGGACAGCACAAGTTAGTTCAGAGGCATTGGTTAAGGGATAGGCTGTAAAACAAGCCAGATGCAGAAACGTTCCATTTGCTTCAGGTGATAACTTGGTAATCAGCTTGGTTAGTCTGATGGTTAGAGGGGTGTTTAATAATGATAGTGCAGTTGCATTGGTTAGGTGTGAAGGATCCTACAGGGAAATTTCCTTCAGAAGCTGAAAAGCAAAGTGAGGCTTATTGTAAAAGGGGGGTGTGTTTAGTTATAGGCCCTCCAATGCCGGGGCCTTGGGGCTTGAAGCATTGTAGGGAGTTGTAATAGGTTTGAAATAATTTGTTAGCCTGATTGGCCCTGGAAGTGGGATAATCGCCGACCACAGTCGCAGTGCAGTGCTAATATTATCAATTATTAGTGTCTCCGCAACTTCAGTATCTCTTATTATTCTAATTCTACTAACTATTCTCGAGTTTGCTGTTGCTCTTATTCAAGCTTATGTCTTCACACTATTAGTAAGTCTTTATTTGCATGATAATACATAATGACCCACCAAACACTTGCCTACCATATAGCTGTACCTAGCCCTTGACCACTAACAGGAGCTCTCTCGGCTCTCCTAATAACATCTGGCCTGGCCATATGATTTCACTTTAATTCTACCACTCTTTTAACTTTAGGCCTACTAACCAACACACTGACTATACATCAGTGATGACGTGATATTGTCCGAGAAAGTATATTCCAAGGCCACCACACAACAATTGTCCTAAAAGACCTCCGATACGGGATGCTCCTATTTATTACCTCAGAAGTATTCTTCTTCGCTGGTTTTTTTCTGGGCATTCTATCACTCCAGTTTAGCACCGACCCCAGAATTAGGAGGACATTGACCCCCAACAGGTATTCTTCCCCTGAACCCTTTAGAAGTATCTCTCCTAAATACGTCTGTATTACTTGCATCAGGAGTTTCAATTACTTGAGCCCATCACAGCCTAATAGAAGGTAACCAAAAACAAATAATTCAAGCAGTACTTACCACGATCCTCTTAGGAGTCTATTTCACTCTTCTACAAGTCTCAGAATATTTCGAGGCCCCTTTATTATCTCTGATGGAATCTATGGCTCAACATTCTTTGTAGCCACAGGCTTTCATGGACTTCATGTTATTATTGGATCAACAATTCTCACCATCTGCCTTCTTGCCAATTAAAATTTCATTTTAGGCCCATCATGGTGGCTCATCCCTGTAATCCCAGCACTTTGGGAGGCCAAGGTGGGCAGATCACCTGAGGTCGGGAGTTCGAGACCAGCCTGACCAACATGGAGAAACCCCGTCTCTACTAAAAATACAAAATTAGCCGGGCATGGTGGCGCATGCCTATAATCCCAGCTACTTGGGAAGGCTGAAGCAGGAGAATTGCTTCAAATGATCGTCCCTCTTCATCCTCCCAAAGTGCTGGGATTACAGGTGTGAGCCACCACACCCAGCCCAGCTTTGTTAATTTTTCTGTTTGCTGGTTTTCTGTTTCATTGTTGTCTGGTTTCATTTTTATTAATTCCTTCTTTCTTTTATTTGTCTTTGCCACATTTAATCATTTCTTTTTTTTATTTATTTTACTTTAAGTTCTGGGATACATGTGCTCAACATGCAGGTTTGTTACATAGGTATACATGCGCTATGGTGGTTTGCTGCACCTGTCAATCCATCATCTGGGTTTTAAGACCTGCATGCATTAGGTATTTGTCCAATGCTCACCCTTCTCTTTCCCTCCACTCCCCAACTGGCCCCGGTTTGTGATGTTCCCCTCCTTGTGTGTTCTCATTGTTGAGACATGTGAGACTTGGATATGTACTCTCATTGTTCAACTCCCACTTATGAGTGAGAACATGCGGTGTTTGATTTTCTGTTCCTGTGTTAGTTTGCTGAGGATGATGGTTTCCAGCTTCGTCCATGTCCCTGCAAAGGACATGAACTCATTCTTTTTTATGGCTGCATAGTATTCCATGGTGAATATGTGCCACATTTTCTTTATCCAGTCTATCACTGATGGGCATTTGGGTTGGTTCCACATCTTTGCTTTTTAATTCCTTCTTTCTACCTTCTATCTTCTTTAGATTTAGTTTGCTTTCCTTTTTCTACCTTCTTAAGGTAGAAGCTCACACCATTGATTTTAAACTTCTCTTCAGTTCTGATGTATACATTTAAAGAAACTAATTTCCCTTCAAGCACTCTTTCAGCTTTATCTCATACATTTTGATATAATGAACTTCATGATCATTCACTTAAAATATTCTCTAATTTTCTTTGTAATTTCCTCTTAGACCTATGGCTTATTTGGTAGTATGTTGATTAATTTCTGTATATTTAGGGGATTTCCAGGTTATCAGTTTGGTGCTGCTTTCTAATTTAGTTGAGGTATTTTTATTTTTATCTTTTTTGGTCAGAGAACATACCCTACCCAGTTTGCATACTGTTGAATTTCTTGAGACTAAATTTATGATCCAGTATGTTGTTCATCTTGATGGATATTTCATGTACACCTGAAATAATATGTATTTTGCCATTGCATATTCTAGTCTAATGTCTTATAAGTGTCAGTTAGGTTGATTTAATTATTAGTGCTATTCCACTGTTTAATATATTTTCCTGATTTTTTGTTCATTTCTTTTACCAATTATTGGGAGAAGCATTTAAAAATCTCTAATTACGATTGCAAATTTATCTATATTTTCATTTCTGTCAATTTTTGTATCATTTATTTTTAAGTCATATTATTAGATGCATACATATTTAGAAAAGTTATGTTCTTCTTATGGTTTTTCCATCATTATGACTCAAGTTTTATTTTTATTCCTGGTAAAACATATTTTTAATGAAGATTTTTTTTGTTATTAATATGATCAAACTGAATTTATTGTGATTTAGGTATTTGTGGTATGCATTCTTTCTTCTGGTTATTTTTTGCCTATCTGTGTAAAGAGCATGTATCTACCATTCTTTGAACATATTCTTATCTCTGACACCTGACACGTATCCATCATTCTTTTTTTTTTTTTTTTTTTTTTTTTTTTTTGAGAAGGAGTCTCGCTTCTGTCGCCCAGGCTGGAGTGCAGTGGCGCGATCTCGGCTCACGGCAAGCTCCGCCTTCAGGGTTCACCCCATTGTCCTGCCTCAGCCTCCCAAGTAGCTGGGACTACAGGCGCCCGCTACCACGCCCGGCAATTTTTTTTTTGTATTTTTTAGTAGAGGCGGGGTTTCACCGTGTTAGCCAGGATGTTGTCGATCTCCTGACCTCGTGATCCGCCTGCCTCGGCCTCCCCAAGTGCTGGGATTACAGGCATGAGCCACCGCGCCTGGCCGTATCCACCATTCTTAAATATCCTTACTTTCTATGATCATCTTTTATTTTTTTTCTCAAGCTCTAGAATCTGTCATAGCTCTGGGTTCTTTTAGAAGAGTCTGGTTAAAAAGCTAGATCAAGATCTGTGTGTTAAGTGTGCTCATTGCTATGGGAATGTCAAAAGTCTAAGATCCTATTTGTGGACATACACATAAACATCTATACATTTATTTCTATAGCTACTTACTTATATTAAAAACCATATGTCTACGTCTAGCCTTTCTAGAAACAAAAATTATGAAATCTATAAAAATGACTTAAAAATTTGCAATCATTGGAGATCTTTTGAAGCATGCAGAATACATCAGGAGATAAATATTGAGAAAAGGAAAGTAACTAGGTGAGTTCAACGTTTACTGTGAGTTTCCCCTGAGAGTGCTTTTCAGTCTAAAGCAGTAGATGGTAGAACAAAGCTCAAGCAGAAAGATGCAGTCTTACCAGGAAGAGAAGACGGAGGTTGGAGTTTGGTGCCGAAAGAATTAGTTGCTATTGAGGAGAAAAATCCCCAAAAACCATGAAAACTCAAAGAGGGGCCCCTATTCTGCATGCAAATTTCTTTCAAATGCAGAATTTTGGGCTCTCCTCTGTGGTATTCTTATTTAGGATTTTCCACTCAAGTTCTACAAATAGTGCGCCACTGCACTCCAGTTTGGGCAACAGAGCAAGACTCTGCCTCAAATAAAATAAAATAAAAATTGTTTTAAAGTTCCACAAATCTTAAAGACCTAAGTTCTGACATCTTTCTACTCAGTTACCATTAGGAGGGAGAAAAATATACTAAGAAAGGCAAGTAAAGAGGAATAAGAGAAAAAGAACAGATGGACCAAAAACAAAAAGCAGCAAGGGGGTAGACTTAAATCCAGTACTTCAGTAATTACATTAAATGCATATTTCTAAACTGGATAAATAAGCAAGACTTTTGACCATACACTGTCCATAAGAAATGCATTTTAAGTATGAAGACACAGGTTAAAAATATAAGGATGAAAAAATATACACTGGGCAAGAAAGCTGGAGTGGCTACATTAATATCAGACAAAGAAAACTTTACAAATAAGGAATATTACTGGAGATAAATTTTTCATAATGAAAAAGAGTCAATACATCAAAAAGACATATAATCCTAAGTGTGTATGTACCAAATGCTATATACAGCTTATTTTCAAATTCACGTAGAAAATACATAAAAATATACCACATATATTGACATCAAAACATTTCAACGAATCTAAAAAGCAGTGAGAACATTGGACAACGTTGCCAAAAACAATCATTTAAAGACTCTGGAAATTGACCAAAGGATACGAACATTGAGAAGCATTTAGTTAAGAGAATCTAAACTGAATCCTAATAAAAACAGCAAAATCAGTATTATTTTGGCCAGAGTATGCTTTCACCAACTTCCTTCACCTCAACTTATGGTGCAGAATTTCTACCTGTGTGGGAGGACAGGCCATGGGATTAGACAGCTCTTCTTAACCTGCCAGAGGGAGCTCACACACATTTTTTGGAAAAGAGCTCACGCACATGCATGCACACACACACACACACACACACCCTCAAAATAACGTCTTGGCGTTTTGTAGAAAACAGCATAGACCTCAGGGCAAATAATTATGGAAGGCTAACATCTCAACTAGCTTGAAGTCATGATGGCAGGCCAGTCAGGAATTTTACCAGGGAGATCCAGAGAATGAGATAGTCAAAAATAGCCTTGCTAAAATCTCATTTATCCCCAGTGGTGTGGAAAGCTGTCTGCATCAGCTTGGTTAAGCCTGCTCAGGAGAGACCTGGCTGAATATAAGGACATGTGAAGGCAGAAAGTAAAAATTGGGACATACCTGTAAAGTCCCGGAACTTTGAAAGCATTTCCCACATCCCACTCAGTTCAATGGCAAAGTGTGGAAGCCTTACTGACTCAATTGTTTAAGCAGAATCTTTCATCAATCATAGGCTGACATTAAGCTATGATGACCAGGGGTGATTGTAGGAAATCAGGCTTAATAATGAAAACAAAAATTATTAAACAAACTTAGCAGAGACACCATAGGCTGCATACTAGGGGGAAACAGACTTGGAAGAACTAGCCCAAGCAAGTCACTAACACAAACAACAAACAGCAAGAGCACTTACTCCTAGGGATTGTGGAATCAGAATTTATGTAAAATATCAATATTAAACAAAAATTACAAGACATGCAAAGAAACTGGAAAATTTTACCAACACATAATACATAGGAAAAAAAGAAGCCAACAGAACTTGTCTCTGAGGAGACAGGTTAAAATGATTTCATTTTAAATTGCTCTCATTCTTGAGCATAATGAAGAAACACTCTTTAAGGCAGGTGAGAAATAACTAAGCAGTTATCAATTAGAGTGTTCAAGTAGTGGTTCTGAGTCTTAAAAAAAATAGGAGGGTGGGAAAGAAAGTACAAAAGAAATCAGATTCCTGTTTTAACTACCTTGGAACACATAAAATTGTGAAAATATGTTGAGAAAGTTCTATCTATACAGCCATCTCCAACTGCTGTATAATAGGTGTGCCGGAAAAATAGAAAAAATATAGGATACAATAAAAAATCGAAGATTTTTTTTTCTGAAGGAAAGGAAGACTTTAGTCTCTGGCTAGATAAGATTCATGCAATTTAAAGGAATCAAGTGGAATCATGAAAATATACAAATAGTTCTGTAGCTGGAGGGATGAAAATTTTTACTACACAATCAGAAAATAAAATGGTAATAAAAATGATCTATTGGCTTCCAAGAAAGAAATAAACAGTTTACACATAAAAGGACGAGAACCAGACTGGAATCAAATTTCTTATCTGAAATATCAGAAGCCAGAAAACAATGAGAGGGAAAAAAGGCTGCCAACTTAACACATGGGGAAGCAGTGTGTTGGCAGGAAAGGCAGTGTAAGAGAGGAGGTTTGTACAGGGAGATGGAAGAGACAATGGAGAGAAGACAATCTGAGCAGAAGCTGTGAGGAGTAGATAGATAGTAGGGAATGGGAATGCTAACGATGGCGTTATTTTAAAACTAACCTTGTGTGGCATGTTTTAAAATTATCATTCCCACACCCTCATTGCATTGTAAAAATTTTGGATTAATATTTTGTTTATCTTTTGGTGTAGAACTGTGCTAAAGGACACGGATTCTATACTACTGGAAGAAGTTCAAGGTTCTTGTTTTAGGAGGACATGGACAGCTGTAGGGATGTTAACTGGGTCATGTTCACCAGTAGGTGGGGACATTGCACTTTAGAAATTCAAGGGAGCTGCCGCTTTCCCTTTTTTCCTTGCCCCTTGGCAGGTCTGGATTTGAGGGGTCAGGATTCCTTGAGGGTGGTAACACAGCCACTCTTATTTCCCGTACTCTTCCTTCCATGTGCTCAGAATATGATGCAATCTGAGATGCAGTTTTGGATGTTTGAGAAGCAAAGAAGCATGGCTGGAGCAGGAGTTAAAGTCTGCTTTTGTTTGAGAACTGAGGAGCTCAGTCTTTTACATGCTCTCACAGGTAAGAGATTGGTACTATAAAATTACATGCTTAAAACAAACTTCACTGCTGTCATTCTAGTGCAAGCCACTATCCTTTTTCACATTGAACATTCCGCCACCATCTGCAGCATTCTTGATATTTCAGTAAGAATGATATTTTACTTTACAATTACTATTTTAAATTTATTGGGATATCAGTATATAGTTTGAAGATTAAACAATAGAGATGTATTTTAATGAAAACAAGAGCCCTTCATGCCATTCCTTTCCTCCACTGTCATTATCCCCAGTTCAATGACTTTAATAGTAATATGCGTATGTTTTTGTATGTGGGGGTATTAATTTAGACATCCATTGACTTCCTGTTATGAAACCAGATAATTTAAACCACCAAAAATTAGGTCTCTGACATCTTTCTTGTGATTTTATTATCTTACTATGTTTAGTTCCTCTGTAGGTAATCCCTGCATTTTTTATTTATTTATTTATTTATTTATTTATTTATTTATTTATTTATTTTTGAGACAGAGTCTCGCTCTGTCCCCCAGGCTGGAGTGCAGTGGCGCGACTGGCTCACTGCAAGCTCCGCCTCCCGGGTTCACGCCATTCTCATGCCTCAGCCTCCTGAGTAGCTGGGACTACAGGCGCCCGCCACCATGCCCGGCTAATTTTTTTTTTTGTATTTTTAGTAGAGATGGGGTTTCACCGTGTTAGCCAGGATGGTCTCGATCTCGTGACCTCGTGATCCGCCCGCCTTGGCCTCCCAAAGTGCTGGGATTACAGGCGTGAGCCACCGCGCCCGGCCAATCCCTGTATTTTTAAACACAGTACTCTATTATTCTGTCAGTTATATTCAAGATCTCTTGAGTTTTCTCCTTGTAGATGAAGCTACTGCTAACCCTATTCTTTCCTGCTCTACTTTTTTCTTTATTTCATATCCCAACTTCTGGCATTTATAATTTATCTTTAATATTTTCAAACCCGATAGTATTTATGGTTTGTTTGTAACCAGGTATTTTTTAAACACGTATGTGCACATTATTGAGAATATATTTCCTTTGTTGGGCATCTTTTAATTTTTATGAAGGTTCTATTTGCAATTTCTTTTCCCTCATATATGTAGTCTACTTTTTAATCATATCCTCAGATGTTTTGAATATCTCAACAATACTGTAAAATTTATGGGATCATACTTATCATGTTTATCCACTTCCTGGTGCCCTTAGTTCTCTAGTTTCAATCTAAAAGAAATGATTTCCAGGACTGCTGAGCAGATGTCATCTTGGGATTCTCTTCATTGTTTTCTTTGGTAGAAGATAATGTTTCAGGTATCTGATATCTTCCTCTTACTTGCTTTGACTACCTAATTTTGCTACGACACACCGTCTGTTAATATCCAAAAAAGGATATTCTGGAAGCAAATTTTTCTAATCTTTGCATGTCTGAGAATAATTTTTATTCTAGATTCGTGCCTGAATGAAATTTTATGGGTTTATAAGTATGGGTCTAGTCAGGAGAGAGAGGAAATCACACAGTAATGTAAAATGAGAAAGATCAATATAAAGAAATACGAATCTTAACAAGAGATCTGAGTAATAAGAGATTGGCTAGAAAGAAGTAAAGAGAACTCTAAATAATATAGCAGTGGCAGATATAATAGTGCATAATATAATATAATACAAAATGGCTACTTCCCTAGTGTATTAGTCAGGGTTATCTAGAGGGATAGAACTAATATGATAGATGTATGTATAAAGGGGAGTTTATTAAAGCGTGTTGACTCACATGATCACAAGGTGAAGTCCCACAGTAGACCGTCTGCAATCTGAGGAGCAAGGAAGCCAGTCCAAGTCCCAAAACCTCAAAAGTAGGGAAGCTGACAGTGCAGCCTTCAGTCTGTGGTTGAAGGTCTCAGAGCCCCTGGCAAGGGAGAAAAATGAAGGGTGGAAGACCGCTAGTCTAGTCCTTCTACGGTCCTCTGCCTGCTTTTATCCTAGTGGTGCTGGCAGCTGATTAGATGGTGCCCACCCAGATTGAGGGTGGGTCTTGCCTCTCCCAGTCCACTGACTCAAATGTTAATCTCCTTTGGCAACACCCTCACAGACACACCCAGGAACAATACTTTGCATCTTTCAATTCAATCAAGTTGACACTCGATATTAACCCATCACCTAGGTTAAGATAGAGCACCCAAGAAGGAGCCTTCTCCAGTTTTCTTTCCAAGGGTGAGGTCAGACCTTGTTAGGGAGGCACTTCCATGGCTCACTGAATGGCAGAGAGGTAGTTGTTGAACTGCTGCTCCAGCGGTAGTTTGCTGTAATCCACCCTCTGGGACTTGTCAGAAATCCTTCCTCTAGGGTGTTGGGAAAGCTGTTCCTGTAAGGTTCATGGAAGTGGGGTGGTGGTGGTCACTCTCTGCTGTAAAACTGCTAAAGGGGGTGTGCATGCCTGACGAAGCTGCTGGGTGTTGCTGGCTGCTCTACACTGCAAAAGCTGGGTGCTGAGGAAGCCGCAAGAGTCTGATGTTGTAGAAGCCAGGTGAGAACTTGCCAAAATTAATGACAGACAACGAATCACCGATTACAAATCTCGGAGAATACCAAGCAGGATTAAAAAAACAAAAACAACCTACACTTAAGTATATTATATTTAAACTTTAAAAAGTTGAAATACATAAATACTGTTTAGAAAAGCAAAGAAGGGTGAGAAAAGTACAAGTTATTACATTTTATGTATTTCTTAAAAATGGATATAACAGGTAGATATTTGTTGATATGTATTACAAAAGTTGGACAACATAGTCATGAAATATATTTAGATACTTTAAATACATATATTAAACAAGGGAAGAAATAAAGTACTACTCAAATCAATAAGAAAGAGTTAAATAACCTAATAGCAATGTTGGAAAGTAGGTGAACCGGCAATTCACAGAAGAACTCAAATGGCAAATAGCGTATGCAAAGATGGTCAACTTTCTCTACAATATTTGACACAGAAACATTATGTCATTTCAGTTTAAATATAATTACACATTCATAAAAATTGGGGAGCACACCTTTGAAGGGTTACTAATAAATTGTCTAGAAACATTGTTCTAAAAGCTGATGTGGTTTTGGAGGACCAAATGTGAATATTCAAAGGCACTTTCATTTGTTGAGCAAAACACCAAGTGGAGAAATTGAAGATCCCTGATTGCGAAAGGATCCAAGTGTTTAGAGCAGAACTGAAATCCTGAATAATGGTTCTCTCCATGTAGCAGGCAGAGAATGTGACTAGTGGAAAACAGAGGTTTATGTAAACAAAAGCAGCCTAGATTTGGACATAAAATTCATCAATTAATGTATCCATTCATTTGTCAAATAATTATTTAGCTCCTACTAAGTGCTATGTACTATTCCAGATAAAATAGTCAGCAAGGTAAAAATGTCCCTACCTTTATGAGTTTTAATTCTAGCAGGAAAGAAAAAATAATCACATAATATACAGATATGCAGTATTAGGTGGTGATTCTTGCTATGAAGATACAAATGAAGAAAGCTGAGTAAGGGGATAGAGAAACAAGGGCTTACCAGTAGTAAATTTCCATGCAAACAGTGGCAGGCTAATTTCAAAATCAGAAATATTTTATTATAGTTTTTCTTGGGTTATTAGTGTCAGACATAAGAAAAGTGCAGTAGATTTACTACCACAGATTTTTGCACTTGTACTTATTTTGAATGAAATGTACTGTCAAAGAACGAAGCAGATGGACTGGGCTTATATCCTGTCTCCTTGTAGTAGAGAATATTGAGTCTGATGTGCAGACCAGCAGATCCTTTGTGTATCACCTGCACCACTCCCTCATCCCCTCCATAAGCTCACATCAGGAGTAACTATGTTCATGTACTGTAATGTGAACTCATCCCCTGGCAACACTTTAGTGGTGTACAGTAAGCAACTGACTGGTCTAGGAAAAGAAGCCCTAGGGCAAAGGAGAGATGAATTGAGAACATCTTGGCAGGGACCATTTTGTACTATGTGAATCTGAAAGCAGAGATATATAAAATAATGAAGATGACAGGCAGAGAAAATTAGAGATAAGAAATATACAGAGGATTTCTTGTATAACACACAGTGTACTATCCTTAGATCAATCCTTTTACATATCTTCTTTGGCTTCTGTGAGTTAGCCCTTTGTTATGATAACAAATTTTATCTTTTTGATCAATCTAACTCAGGCACTTGTGTTCCCCATGATGACATGCTCTCACGATGGCTCTGATTTATTTAACATACAGAGGAAGATCATGAGTGTGGATTTCCGAAATGCAGTCAGTGGACTCAATTACTGTTTGTTGAGTCCATGAGCAGATGTGACTAACAAAGATCTGTGCATATGGGGATTGAAGGGTTTTTTTTGTTTTTGGATAGAGTTGGTGAAGAAATTAAATGAAAGTATACGATATTCCATGGCCAAGAATTTCAAATAATAAAGTGTTTATATGAGATGTTTGGGCTTTAATATGGGAAGTATGTATATGGGATGTGTGGGCTCTAATTTGTTTAAATTGTGTTTATTACTAATATTTGTGGGCACATAGTAAGTGTATATATGTATCAGGTACATGAGATGTTTTGAAAAAAAGGATGCAATGTGAAATCAGTAAATCATGAAGAATGGGCATCCATACCCTCAAGCATTTATCCATTGAGTTGCAAACAATCCAGTTACACTCTTGAAGTTATTTTAAATGTATAGTTACTATTTACTATAGTCACCCTGTTGTGCTATCAAATAGTAGATCTTGTTCATTCTTTCCAATTTTTTCCCATTAACCATCCCCATATCCCTCCCTCCCTGATCCCCCAGTACCTTTCCAACCTCTGGTAATCATCCTTCTACTCTCTATGTTCATAAATCCAATCATTTTAATTGTTAGATCCTACAAATAACTAAGAACATGCGATATTTGTCTTTCTGTGCCTAGCTTATTTCACTTATGGAACTGCCATGCCTGTTGTTGCAAATGACTGGATCTCATTCTTTTTTATGGCTGAATAGTACTCCATTATATATATGTACCACATTTTCTTTATCCATTCAACTGTTGATGGATACTTTGATATACTGACTTTTTTTTTCTTTTCAGTGTATACCCAGCAGTGGGATTGCTGGATCATATGAGAGCTCAATTTTTAGTTTTTTGAAGAACCTCCAAATTGTTCTCCATAGTAGTTGTACTAATTTACGTTCCCACCAATAGTGTCCAAGTGTTCTTTATTTCACATCCTTCCCAGCATTTGCTATTGCCTGTCTTTTCGATATCAGCCATTTTTAACTGGAGTGAGATGATACCTCATTGTAGTTTTGATTTGCATTTCTCTGATGATCAATGATGTTGAGCACCTTTTCATATGCCTGTTTGTCATTTGTATGTCTTATTTTGAGAAACATCTATTCAAATCTTTTGCCCAACTTTTGATTGGATTATTAGTTTTTTCCTATAGAGTTGTTTGAATCCTTATATATTCTGGTTATTCATCCCTCATCAGATGGGTAGTTTGGAGATATTTTCTTCCATTCTGTGGGTTGTCTCTTCACTTTGTTGATTGTATCCTTTGTGTTCAGAAGCTTTTTAACTTGATGTAATCCCATTTCTCCATTGGTGCTTTGGTTGCTTGTGTTTGTAGAGTATCACTCAGGAAATTTTTGCCTAGACCAATGTCCTGGAGATTTTCCCTAATGTTTTCGTGTAGTAGTTTCATGGTTTGAGGTCTTAGATTTAAGTCCTTAATCCATTTTGATTTGATTTTTGTATATGATGAGAGAAACGAGTCTAGTTTTATTCTTCTGCATATGAATATCCAGTTTTCCCAGCATCACTTTTTGCAGAGACTGTCTTTTCCCCAGTGTATGTTTTTGGCACTTTTGTCAAAAATGAGTGCACTGTAGGCTTGTGGATTTGCTTCTGGGTTCTCTAGTCCATTCCACTGGTCTATACGTCTGTTTTTATGCCAGTACCATGCTGTTTTGGTTACCATAGCTCTGTAGCATAATTTGAAGTCAGTAATGTGATTCTTCTAGTTTTATTCTTTTTGCTTAGGATGGCTTTAGCTATTCTGAGTCTTGTGGTTCCATATAATTTTAAGATTTTTTTCCATTTCTGTGAGAAATGTCATTGGTTGTTTGATAGTGATTGTGTTGAATCTGTAGATTGCTTTGGGTAGTATGGACATTTTAACACTATTGATTCTTCCAAGCCATGAACATGGAACATGTTTCCTTTTTTTATTATAAAAAAATTTCTTGTATTATAGAGATTTCTTATTCTCAATTTCCTTTATTATAGAATTATAATAGAATACAGAATTTATTATAAAAAATTCTTTTATTATAGAGATTTCTTATTCCTCAATTTCTTTTATTATAGAGATTTTTCACTTCCTTGGTCAAGTTAATTCCTAGGTATTTCATTTTGTGTGTGGCTATTTTAAATAGAATTACTTTTTAAATTTCTTTTTCACATTGTTCACTATTGGCATATAGAAATTCTACTGATTTTATGTGCTGATTTTCTATCCTGGAACTTTATTGAATTTATCAGTTCTAATAGTATTCTTGTGGAGTCTTTAAGTTTTTATAAATATAGGAGCATATCCTCTGCAAACAAGGATAATTTGACTTCTTCCTTTTAAATTTGGATGCCATTTATATCTTTCTCTTGTCTAATTGCTCTAGCTAGGACTTCCAGTACTATGTTGAATAACAGTGGTGACAGTGGCATCCTTGTCATGTTCCAGATCTTAGAAAAAAGACTTTCAGTTTTTCCCCATTCAGTATGATACTAGCTGTGGGTCTGTCATATATGGCTTTTATTATGTTGAAGTATGTTCTTTATATCCCCAGTTTTTGAGAATTTTTAACATGAAATGATGTTAAATTTTATCAAATGCTTTTTTCAGCATCAATTAAAATGAACATTTTATTTTTATCTTCATTGTGTTGATGTGATGTATCACGTTAATTTGTGTATGTTGAACCATCCTTGCATCCCAGCGATAAATCCCACTTGATTGTTATGAGTGATCTTTCTGATGTATTGTTTAATTCAGTTTACTAATATTTTGTTGAGGATTTTTGCATCAATATTCATCAGAGATATTGGCCTACAGGTTTTTTTTATGTGTCTTTGTCTGGTTTTGGTATCAAGGTAATACTGGGCTCATAGAATGAGTTTAGAAGTATTCCCTCATAAAATACTTGTAGAAGTATTCCCTCCTTCTCTATTTTTTGGAATAATTTGAGTAGGATTGGTATTAGTTCTTCTTTGAATGTTTGGTAGCATTCAGCAGTGAAGTCATCAGGTCCTGGAATTTATTTACTGGTAGACTGTTTATTGTGACTTTGATCTTGTTACTTGTTATTGATCTTTTTAGGTTTTGAGTTATTTCCTGTTTTAATCTTGGTAGGTTGCATGTGTCTAGGACTTTGTCCATTTCTTCTAGGTTTTCCAATTTATAGCATATAGTTGCTCATAGTAGCCACTAATGATCCTTTGAATTTCTGCAGTATCAGTTGTAATGTCTCCTTTTCCATTTATGATTTTATTTATCTGGATCTTCTCTCTTTTTTTCTTAGTTTGTCTTGCTAAAGGTTTGTCAATTTTGTTTAACTTTTCAAAAAAGCAAATTTTTGTTTCATAGATCTTTTGTATTTTTTTCAATTTCATTTATTTCCACTCTGATCTTTACTTTTTCTTTTCTTCAACTAATTTTTGCTTTGGTTTCCTCTTGCTTTTCTAGTTTTTAAGATGCATCATTAGATTGCTAATTTAAAGTTTCTCCTTTTCTGATGTAGGCACTTATAGCTATAAACTTCCTCCTTATTACTGCTTTTGCTGTATCCCATGGGTTTTGGTATGTTGTGTTTTCATTGTCATTTGTTTCAATAAATGTTTCAATTTCCCTCTTAATTTCTTCATTGACCCACTGGTCATTCAGGAGCATATTGTTTAATTTCCATGTATTTTTATAGTTTCCCAAATTTCTCTTCTTATTAATTTCCAGTTTTATTCAACTGGGTTCAGAGAAGATGCTTGAGCAATTTGAGAGGCCAAGGTGGGAGGATTGCTTGAGCTCAGGAGTATGAAACCAGCCTAGGCAACATAGGGAGACCCAGAAGCAGTTCAAATGGGATTGAAAACCATGTACCTGTTGCCTGGACTGTAGAGGGCGTTGCAAGCCTGGTGGAGGTGAGCAAAGGGAGAGATTAGATAAAGCTGAGTACCCAACTTCCAGAGTTGCATATATCATTGAGACCAATAGTTCCACATACAGATTTCATTTAACATCTGTATTTTTAAAGTCAATCACAATAGACTTGTCAGACCGTCTTAGAATTATAACCAAGAACAGAAGAAAACAAGATCACTTTTATTGTATTTTAGAACCTTGGGTGACAGTTGATATTGGGAGGGCTTCAAAGCTATAAATGTAGATATAAATAAAAACATAAACAGATTTAGAGGTTTTAGATCACAGTGAATGTGCTAATTTGTAACTCCTTTTAAATTTAACATATGGCAAACAACTCTATTTTGTCATTAAATATCTTTCTAAGACATTGTTTTGAAGGACTGTATATAATTGTGTCATAGTTTGTTACCTAATTATTTAAATTTTGAGGCCAGGTGCAGTGGCTCACACCTGTAATCCCAGCACTTTGGGAGGCCGAGGAGGGCAGATCACCTGAGGTCAGGAGTTCGAGACCAGCCTGGCCACATGGTGAAACCCCGTCTCTACTAAAAATA
The DNA here is from genome assembly GCF_000001405.40 of Homo sapiens. Lineage (NCBI taxonomy): Eukaryota > Metazoa > Chordata > Mammalia > Primates > Hominidae > Homo > Homo sapiens. Next base: position 4,104,963 of record NT_113891.3, on the reverse strand, counting down.
CAAAAATTAGCCAAGCATGGTGGCAGGTGCCTGTAATCCTAGCTACTCGGGAGGCTGAGGAAGGAGAATCGCTTGAACCCAAGAGGCGGAGGTTGCAGTGAGCCGAGATCGAGCCATTGCACTCCAGCCTGGGGGACAAAAGCAAGACTTTGTCTCAAAAAAAAAAATTTTTTTTTTTTTTGAGTACAGATGGGAATTGACTGAAAGCATTTTTACTGAATTGTTGGTTCTCAACTCCCCTCCTACTCCTACATCTTGGCTCTACTTCCCAACTACAAAATGGAAAGTTTCCTTTTTGGATATATGAGTACACAAAAAAGGAGAATCTTCACATTATGGTGTGTCCAGTCTCTTTTTACATTCCATTTTGTTTTTATTTTATAGAGGTAATATTTTTATAGCCTCATGTAGATTTTTTCATTTTAGTTTGTAAAAAAGAACAATGAGAACACTTGGACACAGGAAGGGGAACATCACACACATGGGGGCCTGTTGTGGGGAGGGGGGAGGAGGGAGGGATAGCATTAGGAGATATACTTAATGTAAATGATGAGTTAATGGGTGCAGCACACCAACATGGCACATGTATACATATGTAACAAACCTGCACGTTGTGTACATGTACCCTAGAACTTAAAGTATAATAAAACATATATATTAAAAAAATAATAAATAAATAAATAAGTCAGCCACTGCACCTGGACAACTATTCTGCTCAAAAAAAAAAATAAAAAAGTAAACTTAAAGAAAACTTGCAATAAGAATAGTATTTTGTACTTATATATTTTTTTTTCTGAAATTGCACTCATCAGAACTCTTTATCCTTAAGTACTTCAGTGTGTATTTCCTAAGAAAAGGATACATTCTTGTACATAACCAGAATATAGCTACCAACTTCATTAAATTTAATTTTAATAATCTAAACTGTTTGAATTCTCATTGTCATATGAATTTTGTTTGAAAATACAAGCCCAAAATTACACTCCCATCTCTGAACATGTCATGTTTCTTAAATCATTTATGTCTTTATGCTGCATGGTAAATTTTTGTAATTAAAACACTGTATTTTTTTGTGGAATTTATTCCTTACAATTTTATATTTCTACCGGCAGTTTGAATGGTAATTTATCCTACATTCTCTCACCCTTCCCATCTCCCCCTGCTACTATATATTTTATTTGTGCTTCTTAGTAGCTTGGACTGCCAGAGACAAGTGACTCTGCCTCATCATATGCTTCTCATTGGTTGGAGAGATACATATTCATTACTATTAGTTATTTCTTCTAACCAGAGCTTCTGCAAAGCCCCTTTATCATTATCCTTTCTCTTCAATCACAATCTTGCCTAGTAACCTTTTCCATACCCAGATAGTTCCTTTCCTCCTGCAAGAACTAAGCGTATGTAAGTCTTCTCATTTGTTACCTAGTTCACTTTTCTTCACATGTGAGGATCCTGGATACTATTAAGATGCCTTCACTACTGACTGGATCTTGGAAAAATATGCTTTGTTTCCCTACAAAATATATTTTCTTTTAAGCTCTCAGAGTAAATTTTGAAACGAGCTACCCATAGATTAGTCCTCTGGTATTAACTAGTATTGTTATTCTGGCTGTAAAAGATAACTGTTCAAACTATTTACAGGTTAGATTATCCAGGGGATATAGTTTAGAGCACCCATATAATTTTTTTTTCAACAGATTACTTGATTTAAAAAGAACCTATCAAGTTAATGTTTTGAAGAAATTGATAATTTCTTTTAGAGGTTTCTCTGAAAAAATACAAGCAGTCCATATTAACAGGCTGGGTCTAGAGTTATATAGTCTGAGCGAGGACATGGGATGTTGAGTTGAGTCCAGAGACAGGCCATATGCAGCGAACCAGAACAATGTTTCAAAATCTGCAAATGGCTGAATCTGGGTATTTCCTGTGTGAAGGGGATGCCAGAAATGAGCAACCAAAACCTTAACAGAGACTGAAAACGCATCCCAAAGTAGGAGGCAAAATACATCCACCTTCCAGGCAGCATACCCAGGCCTGATACACGTTAGAATGGGTTCTAGACATGTGACAACAGGATAAAAAAGTCAGTAAAATCATGGGAAAGATTAAAGTGAAAAATATTATAATATAAAGTCCACACATCTCATTAATTTTAGTAACTGCAAATAGACTAAACTTGTGACCAGAAGACAGAGACTGACAAATTGAATGCAAAAACATAAATTCAGGTTATACTGTTTACAAGACACATACCTAAAGCATAAAAGTCATTTCAGAGATTAAGTGTAAAACATAGAAAGGACATATTATGCAAAAACTAATTCTAAGAAATGGTGTTTATTTATTAATGTCAAAAACAAATTTTAAGGAAAAAGATATCGTAGGACAGAAAGACTGATATAATGATAAACATTCACCTAGTCAAGGAAAACAAAGGCTGGGCACAGGGGCTCACACCTGTAATCCCAGCACTTTGGGAGGCTGAGGCAGGTGGACCGCTTGAGCTTATGATTTCAAGACCAGTCTAGGCAACATGGCTAAAACCTGTCTCTGCAAAAAACAAAAATTAGCTGGGCATGGTGGCGCGTGTCTGTAATCCCAGCTACTTGGAAGGCAGAGGTGGGAGGATGGCTTGAGTCCAGGAGGTGTAGGTTGCAGTGAGCCGAGATTGCACCACTGCACTCCAGCCTGGGCGATAGAGCCAGACTTTGTCTAAAAAAAGAAAGAAAAGAAAAGGAAAACATAGCAACTATAAATATAGGTGCATCTAATAAAATATCCTCAAAGACATGAATCAAAATTGATATACTATTTAGGTAGAAAGCAATAAATCTACCATTTATAGTATGATATTTTAATATATGTTTCTGGGTTCTTTATAAGTCAAGAAGGCAAAAGTAGGATATAAAAGATCTAAACAACACAATTAGTAAGCTTGACCTAATAGACTTGAATATATTATAAAGTTATTGTCTATGTTCTCATCTATGTGAACTGGTAGATTCACCAGCACCTATTACATTAATTTTAATTTTAATTTTAATTTTTTTTGAAACAGAGTCTTGCTTAATAGCCCAGGCTGAAATGCAGTGGTGCGATCTCAGCTCACTGCAACCTCCACCTCTCAGGTTCAAGCGATTCTCCTGCCTCAGTCTCCTGAGTAGCTGGGACTAAGGTGCATACCACCATACCCTGGTAATTTTGTATTTTTTTAGTAGAGACAGGGTTTCACCATGTTGGCCAGGCTGGTCTCAAACTCCTGACTTCAGGTGATTCACCTGCCTTGCCTCCCAAAGTGCTGGGATTACAGTTGTGAGCCACCGCGCCCAGCCAGTTTATTATTTTTAATGTTTTTTAATGTAATGTAATGTAATTAATATAATAGGCACTGGTGAATAGGCACTGGTGAATCTACCACCTGGCACATAGATGAGAACATAGACAATAACTTTATAATATATTTGAGTCTATTAGGTTAAGCTTACTAATTGTGTTGTTTAGATCTTTTATATCCTACTTTTGCCTTCTTGACTTATAAAGAACCTAGAAACATATATTAAAATATCATACCATAAATGGTAGATTTATTGCTTTCTACCTAAATATTATATCAATTTTGATTCATGTCTTTGAGGATATTTTATTAGATGCACCTATATTTATAGTTGCTATGGACCTCAGTCATACGTGGAAATGAATTCTGCCAACAGGCAGTGAGCTTGGAAGAGGACCCCAAACTCAGATGAGAATTACAATGTCTCTGTGACTTGAGTCTTGTGACATCCTAAGCAGAAAGCCCAGGTGAGCTCTGCCTAGACTTCTGACTTAGAAAGCTGATGTAATAAATGGGTTTTGTTCTAAGCTTCTGCATTTGTACTAATTTTCTGTGACAGTGGCTAGAAAACTAATACAATATATTTTGCTCATTTAAGGTTCACGTACTGCACTATAAGCACTTTCTTTTAATATAGCGCAATGCTTAAAAATTGATATACATTTCACATATTAACTCTTGATTTTTCATTTAAGTTGTGGTTGTATTTATGATGATTTAAAAATATAGTCTAACAATATTTTTCTATATGGTTTCTTTCTTTTGTTTTATTTAAATCATTCCAACACTTTTTAATAAAATAAATATTAACATGTATCTTTTTCTGTATTTTGAGTTCCTTCTTGATTTACATTTAAACTTTTAATCTAACTCAATATCATCTCTGTATGTGTGTATGTATGAGCTCTTTTTATTTTCCTACTAAATAACCAATAGACCCAACATCATTTTTAGTAAATTTCCCTCATTCCACTGAATAAAAAGTCCACTTTTATTATGTACTACATTTTTAAAAATTTATCCAACATAAATTCAGGATAACTTGTTCTGTTCTTGAAAGCAGTTCTAATGTGGCATTCTTTAACAAGCAAGAGTAAACTTCCCAGTGCACCATTTAAAACACTCCAAACCATTATTGCAATCTCTTGAAAAACATTGAATTAGAATTGTGTTTCTAATACCAAGGAAAATGATTTAAAATTCTCTTAAAATAACTTTTTCTTCTAAAAATTTCACCTGAGAATGTCTTCACCCACCAGAATTTCCTCACCACTACGCTGCTTTCTCTTCCATTCCACATAGGTGCCATGTTGTTCAAGTATATTGCAAAAACTTGCCTCCTAACCCCTTATATCTCACGGACTTCCAATCCTCATCAGCTACAGTCCTTTACCCCACAAACCTGGATTGACTCCAAAAGAGTGAAATGGGTTCTTCTGTGCCTCAAAGAAATGAAGAATATAAACTATAACACTGGAAGCTTCTTCGAAATATGTTTATGTCCCATCCCAAAATTTTCTCAAAAGTTTAGTAACTTCTAGAAATAAAATACGGTAGCCCCACCTTATCCATGGTTTCACTTTCCATAGTTTCAGTTATCTGTGGTTAATCACAGTTTGAAAATAGGGGTGTATAGTACAGTAAGACATTTTGAGAAAGAGAGGGGACCCCATTTACTTAAGTTTTATTACCGTATATTGTTAAAATTGTTCTATTTTATTATTAGTTTTTGTTTATCTATGACTGTGAATAATTTATAAATTACACTTTATCATAGGTTTGTATGTGTATGAAAACATAGTACGTATAGGGTTTGGTACAATCCGTGGCTTCAGGCATCTACTGTGGGATCTTGCAGTGTATCCCCCATGAATAAGGGGGGACTACTATAAATACAATTTCGATCTCGTTAATCATAACATAAATTTGGATCGGCTTCTGTGCAGTCAATGTTGTTCCACAGTTGACTTTTTTTTTTAGTGGCAGTAGAAACATGTTTTAATTGTTTAGCTTTATAATTATTTGTAAGCATCTACTAGAGCAACACCCCCTCATTTTTATCAATAGCTATTTTTATATTTATTATTCTTGAAAAAAATTAGAAACATTTTGTTAACAAAACTATCTTATTGATATTTAGATTAAAGCATCACAAAGTCTATGTATTTTGTTTGGAAAATTGACACAAATTGTCTTGTTCAAGAATGTGGTACTTTTATTTATCAAACTTTTCTTCAGTAAACTTCTTCTATTCTTTTCTGTGGATTGCACACATGACTAGTAGACGCTTTGATATTTTCTATGTTTATTGCTCTTTTAAGTGATTTTTTTTTTTCTGTAACAGACTTACTGGCTCAGTCAGCCAGAGACAAATGATGCTGCTTCACTTCTTCTCATTGGCTGGCAAGGAAAGTACTTAGTGGTTTAACTCAAGCACAACTTCTGTGAATCTTTTTTTTTTTTTTTTTTTTTTAAAGCAGCATCCCGTATTTGGTTACACTCTGGTCTAGTAACCACTTCCTTTGGGCAAGACAACCTTCTCCACCTGCAAGAGCCAGGCATGTGATTAAAAAAATTTCCTTTGTGGTCACTTAGTTATTATTCTTCTTGCTTTGAGTGTTTGGTTGCTAGTTTCATGTACACACTTTCCACTAAAGCTGTTCTTTACAACTTGTTATAGTAAGTTTTGATTCACAGAATATTTTAGGCTCATCTACAATATAATAATTTCCCACAAATGTAAAGAATATAAGTTTGTACAGTTCTAAATATCAGTAAAACAGCATGGAGCAGAGTGCTCGTATTTAACTTCAAAAAAGGTAGTATTTCCATAGGTGCTTTCAGGATAATAAAAATTGATTTGATTGATATAGACTTATGGGACAATATGTGAGAATCAGGCTCTGCTCTAAAGGATAGGAGAAAGGCGGGCAGGGAGTACTTAATATGGTTTGAATTCCAGACACACAACCTAGTTGCCTAATTTGGCCTCATCCACCAGCTTGAATATTTTCGTGAGATTCTGTCTTACATCTCTGGTAATACTAAAACAAAAAATGAGGACCATTTCAAGTAAGTCTAGCTCAGGAGAAACCATTAAAATTGTTATATTCTCTGTTTAATTTTTTCTACAATTATTATTTCTTCTTTTTATATTAATTAGAATAGGCCAGACTGCTACAATAACTAGACTTGAAAGTGTATGAAGGCTGAAATACGGTAGAATTTTATAACTCACTAATGTAACAGTAGGAAGATACTGATGATTTGTGAGTAGCTCTTCTCAAGCTGGTGATTCAGGGATCCAAGCTGCCATACTCTAATATGGTGCCTCTCATTTTTTTTCCTGTGAAAATTAACATACTTTAATTTTTCTTCAAATAGGGAGGTCAGGAAAAGTGGCCAATTGTGATCTAGAAGATTAAGGCAAGACGGTTAGTGAAATTTACAACAGTGTCCACTACGTTGTCATTATGGCTGTAACTAATATTCATCTCCCTCCGTCACAAGCCGCTCCTGATTCCCCTCATCCTCTGAATTTAGTATAGTTTGTTTTTCTGTTTGAGTGACAGAGACAACTATTCCAGAAAGGTCTATACAGTTATTTACCCTGTCCTTGCTGGATTGATTGTTTTAGTGTCTACTGATGGTCATTACCATGCATAAAAGTACTAAAAGATATCGTTGTATTTCCTCTAATTTGTTCCTGAGGCATCTCTCGTAATAATGGCTATCAACTGTAGTCCTCCTCTAATGAAGGGAAAAGTAATATGCATGGGCTCAACAACCAGGACTACAGTCAGCAGGGATTATCTTCTTAATAGCATTGCTGAGTTCCACCCTGCCAGCAGTAGAGGATAACACTGAACTCACCATATGGCCCCATTACTTGAGGAGATCAGCCAGCGAGTTGGTGTCAGGTTGACTGTATCAAAATCTTCCACCTTGGAGGGGAAGTGATTTATTCTTTCTGGAATTAGTATACACTTTGGATATGGATTTGCTATTCTCACCTACATTGCCTCCAAAACCATTGCCATTCAAACACTCATGGGATGCTATGTTTAATATTGCTCAAGACTACAAAACCCATTTAGTAACAAGACGTAGCAATGGGATAATGATATATACCCATTACCTAGATGTAGTCAGTCCAAAAGAATAATTGAATGGTGCTGGCTGGAAGACATTGCCCTCTAGGATGTTGTCTTTGACTGTTTGTGTTGCTATAACAAAACACCACAGACTGGATAAATTACAAAGACCAGAATTTTATTTTCTCACAGTCCTGGAGGCTGGAAAGTCCAAGATCAAGGTACTGGCATCTAGTAAGGGCCATCTTGCAGTGTCTTCACATGGCGGAAAGTGAATCACATGGTGGAAGGTGGAGGGGCAAGGGAGCATTCCCTTCAACCTTGAGTCCTTTTATAAGGGTCCTAATCACATCTTTGAGGCTCATGTCCTCATGACTTAATCATCTCTTAAAATGATCACACTGAGGACAACAAGGTTAGGTTTTAATATACGAATTTTGGAATTTTGAGTCATGTGGTTTGTTGAATTGTCTTCTTTCTATCTTACCTGACACCTTCAAATTTAACTTCTTACCCAGACAGAGCTGTCCCAGAGAGTGAAATTTTGGCAGGAATAAACGGACACAGGTCAGACAAGAGCCACAAAAGTGTCTTCCAGTATAAACAAGTTTCCTGTGAGAGGGGCGCTTGGTTACAGGTCAGACACTTAGGCATTAGACCATCTTCCAGAATAAAGAAGCATCCCATGAAGATACATTGTAAACTCCACACCCAAATTCCCTAAAGCTCCAGCAGAGCAAAACTAGTTTATAGCTGTTCTCATGAGAGAGACCTCAAGACCAAATTAGATGAAAATTCAGTAGACACTAAAACAATTATACTCCATCAAGGAGAAGATAAACAAGAGCATAAACCCTTCTGGGATTGTAGTATCTATCACCAAACCAGAACAACCACCTAGTTTTTAAACCTGCTGAAGTCTGGTTTCAAATGTACTGCTTTAATTGCATGATGGATTGTGGTTGGTATGCCCAAACTTAAGAGTCTATGAATCTTATAACTCTCAGCATCATATGGACAATTTAAGTCATATGGTCACTTAGTGTGTTAAATGCCTATCAGGAAGAAATGCACACTTGGTTGTAGTTTTAGAACACATGAGTTCATGCAAAATTACTGTTAGAGAAGTTTTCCAGTGGTTATAATCTGGAACATGTAATATGAATGAAGTGATCAAGAGTTTGACTTGTGACTTACACTTTAGATCATGATATAATAATTGGTGTAGTCAGTACTTTGTATATCCCAGACAACTTTCTTGAGCTTTAGGGGACTGACTCACAATGGAGCTGAGGCTTCTTCTGTCCCTTGCTACTGATCTGTAAGTAATAAACCTGCTTTACATAACTTGTGTGTGGGCATGTTCTATTTCATCAGACTCAGATAATAGGTAACCAGTGTGTGGTGGACCTAAACAGTAGCTCAGGATGCAGTGGAAAGAAGTATCTGGACTTCTTTTCCTAGTGGTTGGCATAGTAGTGATCTTTGCTATTCTCCACACAGTGGGGGTCCTCCTTTGGGGTTGGTAATTAGTAAACCTGCTTCATAAACTATGATTAATATACTAAAATCTCTTATGAAAAAGTAGACAACATGCTAGATTAGATAGGTAATTTCGGCAGAGATAGAAAATCTGAGAAAGAGTAAAATTGAAATAAAATAAAAATACATTAACAGAAATTAAAAATACATTTGTCAAACTCATCAGCAAACTTGACACAGCCCTGGGAAGCATCAATGAATTTGAAATAGATCAATAAAAATTATTCAGAGTGAAACACAAAGAGAAACAAATAGTAAAAGTAAATTTAAAAAATAGGTCAAGTGTGGCAATCCCAACAGTTTGGGAGGCCAGGGCTGGAGGATTGCTTGAGCCCAGGAGTTTGAGACCAGTCTGGGTAACATGGGGAGACACCATCTTTACAAAAAATACAAAAATTAACTGAGTGTGGTGGTACAGACCTGTAGTCCCAGCTACTCGAGAGGATGAGGTGGGAGGATCACTTAAGCCCAGGAGGTCAAGGCTGCAGTGAGCCATGACTGCACCACTGCACTCTAGTCTGGGCAACAGAGTGAGACCTTGTTTAAAAACAAATAAATAAGTGTTTAACACTTTTCAGGCAAAAATATAGTACCATTTGATATGGTACTACAGCTCGTGGATGCTCTGTTTTGCTTTTATCCCCCACTCTTCTTTTCTCTTTGTATTTCACTTCGGATAATTTTTATTAGGTACCTTATTGAATTGGTTTTCTTTTTAAATAAACATATTATTTTGGTTGACTTTATTTTTCAATGTTGTATTTTGAAATCATTATAGATTCAGAGGAAGTTACCAAGATAGTACAGAAAGATTCTCTATACCCTTCATCCAGTTTTCCCCAATTGTCACATCTTATATAACTAAAGCACAATATCAAAACCAGGAAATTACCCTGACATATACTGTCAAACGATTTTCAACAAGGGTGCAAAGGCCATTAATTGAGGAAAGGACAGCCTTTTCAACAATGATGCTGGGAAAACTGAAGTCCACATACAAAAGAATGAAATTGGATTCTTACCTTAGATCGTAGACAATATGAACTCAAAATGAATCAAAAACCTAAATGTAAAACTTAAAACTACCAAACCATTAGAAAAAAACATAAAGGAAAATCTTCATGACATTTGATTAGGCTATGATTTCCTGGACATAACACCAAAGACATAGACAAGAAAAGAAAAAATAGATGAATTGGACTTCATCAAAATTTAAAACTTCTAACTCAGGAAAGGAAAAACAAATACCGTATGTTCTCACTTACAAGTGGGAGCTAGGCTATGGGTACACAAAGGCATGCAGAGTGGTAAAATGGACATTGGAGACTCAGAAGAGGGGAGGATGGGATGGGGGTGAAGGATAAAAAACTACATATTGAGTACAATTTATGCTACTTGGGTGACAGGTGCACTAAAATCTCAGGTTTCACAACTATACAATTTATCCATGTAACAAAAAGTCATTTGTACCCCAGAAACTATTGATATAAAAATATATTTAAAATATTTAAAAATAATTATTATTATCTACTATGTGTTCAACACTATTTTTGATGCTTTATATTTGCCATTTCATTTAATCCCCAGCATTACTCCATGGAATAGATATTCTCATTTTGCAGTTGAAGGAACTAACATTCAGAGAGATTAACTTGGATTTATGAGCAATGTCTACATTGTAAAGTAGAGGCAAGGAGACCAGTCAGGATGCCTTTGCAGTAATTTACTTGGGTGGAATTGTTGGTCTTTGAAAATAGAAAGTTAATCTCTTGGAAAGGTTCTACAATGTTATTGTTTTTGCCCCAAATGGCACATTACAGAAATCAATTAATTTAGTTGAATGGCAACTATATGTACATAACATGTTCCTATTACTCTTCTATATCATGTCTTGAACTTTCTCTTTAATAAATGTGACATAAAAACTTTAAAAGTTCTGTGCACGAAAGGACAGTGCCAATAGAGTAAACATGGTAATCAACAGAATGAAAGAAGATGTTGACAAATAGTATATCTCATAAGAGATCAATATCCAAAATATGGTCAGGCATGGTGCCTCATACCTGTAATCCCAGCTACTTGGTAGGCTAAGGCAGGAGCATTACTTAGACCCAGGAGTTCAAGACCAGCCTAGGCAAGTAGGCAAGAAAGAAAGACACTGTCTCTTAAAAAAAATCCAGGATTTGTAAAGAAATTCTAAAACCCAACAATAAAAAAACAAGGGAGAGGCCAAGAATGTTGATTAGAAGTAGCTCTGGTCTGTGGCTCCCACTGAGGAGAATGGAAACAGCGAATGAACACTGTACCTTCTGCTGAGGTATCCAGGTTTTCTCATTGGTATTGACTAGGCAGTTGGCACAACTCACAGAGAGTGAAGAAAAGCAGAGTGGAGCAACAGCCCACCCAGGAGTCACAAGGGGTAAGGGGAACTCCCACCCCAAGCCAAGGGAGATGGTGAATGATTATGCTACCCCACCAGGGAAACCATGCTTTTTTCATGCATCTGTACAAGCTGATCTGTACTCCTGATCAGGAGATGTTCTTGTGAGCCCATGCCACCAGAGCCTTGGGTCCCAAGCACAGAACTGTGCACACTCTTAATGGCTGCTGGGATTGTGGCCAGTGGCAGCATGTTGGGGACTGATTAAAACAACTGAGTTTCTAGGGGGAGGGGTGGCTGCCGTTGCTGTGGCTCCAGTTGGCCATTTTCCCGTCCCACTGCTGGGGAGACTGAATGGTTTGGACTGGCAGGAACTCCCCACAGTGCAGCACAGCAGCTGTGGCAGATCGTGGCCAGACTGCTTCTGTAGGTGGGATCCGGATCCATCCTTCTTCGCTTGGTGGGGCCTCTCTGCAGGAATTTCAGCAACTCCAGCTAGGGGTTTATGGACAGAACTCTGCTCATAAACTGTGGAAACTGTGGCTGTCCATCCCCTAGAGGGAGGGGTGGCCACAATCTCCACAGTTCAGAAAACTTCCTCTTTCCTGCCTGTTGGCTCTGAAGAGCCTGGCAATCCAGAGGAGGGGGATTCCCCCCAGCACGGTGCACCTGCTCCACCAATGGGCAGCCAGAGTGCTTCCTTAAGCAGATCCTTGATCCCATGATCCCATGCCTCCTGACTAGGTGAGACCTTCCAACAGGGGTTGCTGGACAGTTCATACAGGACAGTTCTGACCAGCATCAGGTCAGTGCCCTGGGATGGAGCTGCCAGAGGAAGGAGCAGGCAGCCACCTTTGCTGTTCTGCAGCCTCCACTGGTGACACCTCCAGGTGCAGGAGGGACCCAGGTGAGTTGGATCTGGAGTGGACCCCCGGCAAGCCACAGCCACTCTGTAGAAGAGGGTCCTAACTTTTAAAAGAAAAATAATCAGAAAGCAACAATGACAATAACAACAACAACAGCAAAAGACCCCACAAAACCCCCAACCAAAGGTTAGCATTTTCAAAGATTGAAGGTAGATAAACCCATGAAGATGCGAAAAAGTCAACAACAAATGCTGAAAATACAAAAATCCATAGCGTCTCTTCTCCTCCAAATGATTACAACACCTCTCCAGCAATGGCACAGAACTGGGCTGAGGCTGAGATGGATGACTTGACAGAGGTAGACTTCAGAAGGTGGGTAATAATAAACTTCACTGAGCAAAAGGAGTATGTTCCAACCCAATGCAAAGAAGCTAAGAGCCATGATAAGACATTACAGGAGCTGTTAACCAGTTAACCAGAATAACCAGTTTAGAGAGGAACATAAATAGGTTGATGGAGCTGAAAAACACAACACAAGAACTTTGCAATCCACCCACAAGTATCAGTAGCCAAATAGACCAAGCAGTAGAAAGAATCTCAGAACTTAAAGACCATCTTACCAAAATAAGACAGGCAGACAATATTACAGAAAAAAAGAATGAAAAGGAATGAACAAAACCTCCAAGAACTATGAGATTATGTAAAAGAGACTGAAGCTATGACTGATTGGGGTGCCTGAAAGAGACGGGGAAAATTACCTAAGTTGAGAAACATACTTCAGGATGTCACCAGCAAGACAGGCCAATATTCAAATTCAGGAAATTCAGAGAAACCAAGTAAGATACTCCATGAGAAGATCAACCCCAAGACACATAATCATCAGATTCTCCAAGGTCGAAATGAAGGAAAAAATGTTAAGGGTAGCCAGAGTGAAAGGCCAGGTCACCTGCAAAGGGAAGACCGTAAGAGTAACAGCAGACCTCTCAGCAGACACCCTACAAGCCAGAGGAGATTGGTGGCCAATATTCAACATTCTTAAAGAAAATAATTTCCAATCTAGAATTTCATATCTGGCCAAACTAAGCTTCATAAGCGAAGGAGAAATACAATCCTTTTCAGTCAAGCAAATGCTGAGGGAATTTGTCACCACCAGATCTACCTTGCAAGAGCTCCTGAAGGAAGCACTGGATGTGGAAAGGAAAAACCATTACCAGCCACTACAAAAACACACTAAAGTACACAGACCAATGACACTATGAAGCAACTACATAAACAAGTCTGCAAAACAACCAGCTAGCATCATGATGACAGGATCAAATTCACACATAACAATATTAACCTTAAATATAAATAGGCTAAATGCCCCAATTAAAAGACACAGAATGACAAGCTGGATAAAGAGTCAAGACTCATCAGTGTGTTGTATGCAAGAGACCCATCTCATGTGCGAAGACACGCATACATTCAAAATAAAGGAATGGAGGAAAATCTACCAAGCAAATGGACAGCAGAAAAAAAAGCAGGGGTTGCAATCCTAGTTACTGACAAAACAGACTTTAAACCAACAAAGATCATAAAAGACAAAGAAGAGCATTATATAATGGTAAAGGGTTCAATTCAACAAGAAGAGCTAACTAACCTAGATATACATCCGCCAACACAAGAGCACCCAGATTCATGAAACAAATTCTTAGAGACCTATAGAGACACTCAGATTCTCACACAATAATAGTGGGAGACTTTAACACCCCACTATCAATATTAGACAGATCATTGAGACAGGAAATTAACAAAGATATTCATAGGTGGGAATTGAACAATGAGAACACATGGACACAGGAAGGGGAACATCACACACCGGGGACTGTTGTGGGGTGGGGGGGAGAGGGGAGGGATAGCATTAGGAGATATACCTAATGCTAAATGACGAGTTAATGGGTGCAGCACACCAACATGGCACATGTATACATACATAACAAACCTGCACATTGTGCACATGTACCCTAAAACTTAAAGTATAATAATAATAAAATTAAAAAAAAACAAAGATATTCAGGACTTGAACTCAGCACTGGATCAAGTGGACCTGAGAGATATCTACAGAACTCTCCGCCCAAAAAAACGGAATATACATTCTTCTTGGTGCCACATGGCACTTATTCTAAAATTGTTCACATATTTGGAAGTAAAACACTCCTCAGCAAATGCAAAAGAACCGAAATCATAACAAACAGTCTCTCAAACCATAGTGAAATCAAATTAGAACTCAGGATTAAGAAATTCATTCAAAACCACACAACTACATGGAAATTGAACAACCTACTCCTGTATGACTCCTGGGTAAATAATGAAATTAATGCAGAAATCAGGAAGTTCTTTGAAACCAATGAGAAGAAAGAGACAATGTATCAGAATCTCTGGGATGCAGCTAAAGCAGTGTTAAGTGGGAAATTTATAGTACTAAATGCACACATCAAAAAGCTAGAAAGATTTCAAGTCGACATCGTAACATCACAACTGGAAGAACTACAGAACCAAGAACAAACAAACCCCAAAGCTAGCAGAAGACAAGAAATAACCAAAATCAGACTGGAACTGAAGAAGACAGAGACACCAAAAAACTCTTCAAAAAATCAACGAATCCAGAATCTGGTCTTTTGAAAATATTAATAATATAGACAGACTGCCAGCTAGACTAATAAAGAATAATAGAGAGAAAAATCAAATAGACACAATAAAAAATGATAAAGGGGATATCACCACTGACCCCATGGAAGTACAAACAACCATCAGAGAATACTATAAACACCTCTATGCACATAAACTAAAAAAATCTAAAAGAAATTCCTAGACACATACACCTTCCCAAGATTGAACCAGGAAGTTGAATCCCTCAATAGACGAATAACGAGTTCTGGAATTGAGGCATAATAAATAGCCTACCAACAAAAATAAAAGCCCAGGACCAGACAGATTTACAGCTGAATTCCACCAGAGGTACAAAGAAGAGCTGGTACCATTTCTTCTGAAGCTATTCCAAATAATTGAAAAGGAGGAACTCCTCCCTAACTTATTTTATGAGGCCAGCATCATCCTGATAACAAAACCTGACACAGATACAACAAAAAAAGAAAACTTCAGGCCAATATCTCTGATGGACACTAATAAAAAAAAATCCTCAATAAAATAATGGCAAGCCGAATCCACCAGCATATCAAAAAGTTTATCCACCACGATCAAGTTGGCTTCATCACCAGGATGCCAGGCTGTTTCAACATATGCAAATCAATAAACATAATTCATTAAATAAACAGAACTAAAGACAAAAACCACATGATTGTCTCAATAGACACAGGAAAGGCCTTCAATAAAATTCAACATCCCTTCATGTTAAAAACTCTCAATAAACTAGGTATTGAAGGAACATACCTCATAATAATAAGAGTCACTTATGACAAGCCCACAGACAATATCATACTGAATGGGCAAAAGCCAAAAGCATTCCCCTTAAACACATGCA
The DNA here is from genome assembly GCF_000001405.40 of Homo sapiens. Lineage (NCBI taxonomy): Eukaryota > Metazoa > Chordata > Mammalia > Primates > Hominidae > Homo > Homo sapiens. The sequence goes on along the minus strand of NT_113891.3, from coordinate 4,089,227 downwards.
CAAAACAACAATGCCCACTCTCACCACTCCTATTCAACATGGTATTGGAATTTCTGGCCAGGACAATCAGGCAAGAAAAAGAAATAAAGCATATTTAAATAGGAAGAGAAGAAGTCAAATTGTCTTTCTTTACAGATGACATGATCCTAGATCCTAGAAAATCCCATTGTCTCAGTCCAAAACTTCTTAAGCTCATAAGGAACTTCAGCAGTCTCAGGATGCAAAATCAATGTGCAGAAATCACAAGCATTCCTATACGCCAACAACAGACAAGCAGAGAGCCAAATCATGAATGAACTCCCATTCACAATTGCTACAAAGAGTAAATGCCTAGGAATACAGCCAACAAGGAAAGGGAAAACCCTCTTCAAAGAGATTTACAAACCACTGCTCAAGGAAATCAGAGAGGACACAAACAAATGGACAAATATCCCATGCTCATGAATACAAAAAATCAATATCATGAAAATGGCCATACTGCCCAAAGTAATTTGTGGATTCAATGCTATTCCCGTCAAACTACCACTGACATTCTTCACAGAATTAGAAGAAAACTATTTAAAAATTCACACGGAACCAAAAGCCCATTAGCCAAGACAATCATCCTAAGCAAAAAGAACAAAGTTGGAGACATCATGCTACCTGACTTCAAACTACACTACAAGGCTAAAGTAACCAAAACAGCATGGTACTGGTACAAAAACAGACCAGTGGAACAGAACACAGAACTCAGAAATAAGACCACACATCTACAACCAACTGATCTTCAAAAAACCTGATAAAAACAAGCAATGGGGAAAGGATTCCCTATTTAATAAATGGTGCTGGGAGAACTGGCTAGCCATATGCATAAAGTTGAAACTGGACCCCTTCCTTACACCTTATACAAAAATTAACTCAAGATGGATTAAAGACTTAAATGTAAAACCCAAAACTATAAAGACCCTAGAAGAAAATCTAGGCAACACCACTCAGGACATAGACATGGGCAAAGACTTCATGACAAGAACATCAAAAGCAATTGCAACAAAAGCAAATGCTGACAAATGGGATCTAATTAAACTGAAGAGCTTCTCTACAGCAAAATAAACTATTATCAGAGTGAGCAGACAACCCACAGAATGTGAGAAAAATTTTGTAACCTATCCATCTTACAAAGGTCTAATATCCAGAGTCTACAAGGAACTTAAACAAATTTGCAAGAAAAAAAGAACATTAAAAAGTGGGCAAAGGACATTAACAGACACTTCCAAAAGAAGACATTTATGTAGCACCCAAACATATGAAAAAAGCCTAACATCACTGATCATTAGAGAAATGCAAATTAAAATCACAATGAGATACCATCTCATGCCAGTCAGTATGGTGATTACTAAAAACTCAAGAAACCACAGATGCTGTCAAGGCTTCAGAGAAAAAAGAAACACTTTTATACTGTTGGCGGGAATGTAAATTAGTTCAACCATTGTGGAAGACAGTGTGGCAATTCTTCACAGACCTAGAACCAGAAATACCATTTGACCCAACTATTCTATTACTGAGTGTATTAGTTCGTTTTCATGCTGCTGATAAAGACATACCCGAGACTGGGAAGAAAAAGAGGTGTCATTGGACTTACAGTTCCACATGACTGGGGAGGCCTCAGAATCATGGCGGGAGGCGAAAGGCACTTCTTACATGGCAGTGGCAGGAGAAAATGAGGAAGAAGCAAAAGCAGAAACCCCTGATAAACCCATCAGATCTCGTGCGACTTATCCACTATCATAAGAATAGCAAGGGAAAGACTGGCTCCCATGATTCAGTTACCTCCCATTGGGTCCCTCCTACAACACGTGGGATTTCTGGGAGATATAATTCAAGTTGAGATTTGGGTGGGGACACAGACAAACCATACTGTTCTTCCCCTGGGCCACTCCAAATCTCATTTCCTCACATTTCAAAACCAATCATGCCTTCCCAACAGTTCCCCAAAGTCTTAACTCATTTCAGCATTAACCCAAAAGTCCATAGTCCAAAGTCTCATCTGAGACAAGGCAAGTCCCTTCCACCTATGAGCCTGTAAAATCAAAAGCAAGCTAGTTACTTTTTAGATACAATGGAGGTACAGGTATTGGGTAAATACAGCCATTCCAAATAGGAGAAATTGGCCAGAACAAAGGGGTTACAAGGCACACACAAGTCTGAAATCCAGCAGGGCAGTCAAATTTTTTTATTTTATTATTTTATTTATTTTTATTTTTATTTATTTATTTTTTGAGACAGAATCTCGCTCTGTCGTCCAGGCTGGAGTGCAGTGGCGCCATCTCTGCTCACTGCAAGCTCTGCCTCCTGGGTTCACGCCATTCTCCTGCCTCAGCCTTCCAAGTAGCTAGGACTGCAGGTGCCTGCCACCATGCCTGGCTAACTTTTTTGTATTTTTAGTAGAGACAGGGTTTCACTGTGTTAGCCAGGATGGTCTCAATCTCCTGACCTCGTGGTCCGCCCACCTTGGTCTTTCAAAGTGCTGGGATTACAGGCATGAGCCACCACACCCAGCTGCAGTCAATTTTAAAGCTCCAAAATGATCTCCTTTGACTCCAGGTCTCACATCTAGATCACGCCAATACAGGAGGTGTGTTCCCATGGTCTTGGGCAGCTCTGCCTCTGTGGCTGTGCAGGGTACAGCCTCTCTCCTGACTGCTTTCAAGGGCTGGCTTTGAGTGTCTGTGGCTTTTCCAGGCCCACAGTGCAAGCTGTCAGTGGATCTACCATTCTGGGGTCTGGAGGATGGTGGCCCTCTTCTCACAGCTCGACTAGGCAGTGTCTCAGTAGGGACTTTATTTGGGGGCTATGACCCCACATTTCCCTTCCACACTGCCCTATCAGAGGTTCTCCATGAGGTCCCTGTTCCTGAAGCAAACTTTTGCCTGGGCATTTGGGCGTTTCCCTACATCTCCTGAAATCTAGGTGGAGGTTTCCAAACCTCAATTCTTGACTTCTGTGCACCCGCAGGCTCAACACCACATGGAGGCTGCCAAGGCTTGGGGCTTCCACTCTCTGAAGCCACAGCCTGAGCTGTACATTGGCCTCTTTCAGCCATGGCTGGAGGAGCTGGAACACAGGGCACCAAGTCCCTAGGCTGCACACAGCAAGGGGACGCTGGGCCTGGTCCACAAAACCACTTTTTCCTCCTGGGCCTCTGGTTCCGTGATGGGAGGGGCTGCTGTGAAGGTCTCTGACATGGCCTGGAGACATTTTCCCATGGTCTTGGGGATTAATACTAGGCTCCTTGCTACTTATGCAGATTTCTGCAGCTGGCTTGAATTTTTCCTAAAAAATGGGTTTTTCTTTTCTACTGCATCACCAGACTGCAGTTTTTCTGAACTGTTATGCTCTGTTTCCCTTTTAAAACGGAATGCTTTTAACAGTACCCAAGTCACCTCTTGAATGTTTTGCTGCTTAGAAATTTCTTCTGCCAGATACCCTAAATCATCTCTCTCAAGTTCAAAGTTCCACGAATCTCTAGGGCAAGGGCAAAATGCCTCCAGTCTGTTTGCTGAAACATAGCAAGAGTCACCTTTGCTCCAGTTCCCAACAAGTTTCTTATCTCCATCTGAGACCACCTTGGCCTGGACCTTATTGTTCATATCACTATCAGCATTTTTGTCAAAGCTATTCAACAAATTTCTAGGAGGTTCCAAACTTTCCCACATTTTCCTGTCTTCTTTGGAGCCCTCCAAACTGCTCCAACCTCTGTCTGTTACCCAGTCCAAAGTTGCTTCCACATTTTTAGGTATCTTTTCAATAACACCCCACTCCTGGAACCAATTTACTATATGAGTTCGTTTTCACACTGCTGATAAAGACATACTGGAGACTGGGAAGAATAAGAGGTTTAATTGGACTTACAGTTCCACATGACTGGGGAGGCCTCAGAATCATTGTGGGAGGTGAAAGGCACTTTTTACATGGCTGCGGCAAGAGAAAATGAGGAAGAAGCAAAAGCAGAAACCCCTGATAAACCCATCAGATATTGTGAGGCTTATTCACTATTATGAGAATAGCATGGGAAAGACTGGCTCCCATGATCGAATTACCTCCCCCTGGGTCCCTCCCACAACATGTGGGAATTCTGGGAGATACAATTCAAGTTGAGATTTGGGTGGGGACACAGCCAAACCATATCATTGGGTATATACCCAAAGGAATATAAATCATTCTATTATAAAGATACATGCATGTGTATGTTTACTGAAGCATTATTCACAATACCAAAGGCATGGAACCAACCCAAATGTCCATCAGTGATAGGCTGGATAAAGAAAATATGGTTCATACACACCATGGAATACTATGCAGCCATAAAAAGGAATGAGATTATGTCTTTTGCAGGGACATGGATGGAGCTGGAAGCCATTGTCCTCAGCAAAATAATGAAGGAACAGAAAACCAAATACTGCATGTTCTCACTAATAATTGGGAGCTGAACAATGAGAACACATGGACACAGGGAGGGGAACAACACACACTGGGGCCTGTGAGGGGTAGGGGCAGGGACAGCATCAGGATAAATAGCTCATGCATGCTGGGCTTAATACCTAGGTGATGGGTTGATAGCTGCAGCAAACCGCCATGCCACACGTTTACCCATGTAACAAACCTGCATGTCCTACACATGTACGCTAGAACATAAAACAAAATAAAATAAAATAAACAATTCAATTCAAAAATGGGATTTTTTAGATTCCTCATATAAGTAAGATCATGCATTACTTGTCTTTCCATGTCTGGCTTATTTCACTTAGCTTAATGTCCTCTAGGTTCATGCATGTTGTCAAAAATAACAGTGTGAAAGAAAAATAGAATCTTGGGACCCCAAACTCATTATGCCAAGGGAAAGTTAATCTTGAGGACTGAGGCACCAATACTGTCTTCCTTTTGTTCCCAAACAGATAACGGTAATTTCACAACCCCGTGTCATAACCTCGTTTCCTCTACTCCTTCCCCCTTTTCAAGTTCCCTTAATTTTATGTAAAATGTAGATTTACTGAGCATAAGATAATTTATAATTAACTTTTTCTTCTACTCTCTTTTCACAGGTAAAATGTAGATTTACTTAAGCTAATCAAAGACTCAGGAATGTAACCACTTGTATCATGGCCTACTCTTCCTCCTTTTTTTTCTCCTTCCCCTCCTGCTTGCTCTTTCTCTTTTAAATACTGAAGTTCTCAAAACCCTCTTTGGCAAAAGCATGGATCACAGATGCTCCTGTGTTTTGTGTTTTTCCCAGGTGTATTCCTCAACCTTGGCAAAATAAACCTTTAATTGATTGAGACCTACCTCAGTCACTTTTTGACTTACAACAGGATTTCCTTCTTTTTAAAGCCTGAATAGGATTTAATTGTGTATATATACCACATTTTCTTTATCTTTTCATCCACTGAATGACACAGGTTGATTCTATACCTTGACTATTGTGAATAATGCTGCAAGGAACATAGGAGTATAGGTATATTTTCAACATGCTAATTTTAAATACTTTGTCTACATCCTGCAAATGGGATTACTACATCATATGATAGTTCTATTTTTAACTTTTTGAGGAACTTCCATACTGTTTTCCATAATGGTTGTACTAATCTGCATCCCCACCAACAGTGTACAAATGTTTCCTTTTGTCTACATCCTTAACACTTGTTATCTTTTATCTTTTTGATAATAGCCATTCTGACTGATGTGAGGTGATATGTCATTGTGGTTTAAATGGAATATCTTAAGTTTTCCTATTTGATGATATAAGAGTACTCTCCCCAAAATATTACTGCTGATGTTGCTGTTTTGCATGAACCATGGCCTTGAGCTGAGTTCTTGGACACATGAGTTCTTGAGTACTTGGATATGGATTTAAGTACTCAAGAACTATATATATTTTTATGTGGCTGAACATTAGGGCCTCTCTTTACTGGTAAGAACTTACAGAAAAAGGAGACATTATAAAGATCTCACAGAGAAATATTTAAGTTTTTTCTGGGAATGAAGGAGCATGGTGACTACTAATCTAGAGGCTGGGGGAAGAGCTGTCTCTGGAAATATCCCAGGCATCACTAGGGAACCAGAAGTAGAGACAGGCAGAGGTGTGTTGGAAAGAGTGACATGTGTAGGCTAGCTCTGGGAGGTTTAATCACCAGTGGTCCAACTGAGGCAATGCGTGGATGAGGAGACTGACAGGAAAAAGGAACCTGAAAAGATAGATCAGGAAACAAAGCTTCATTGTACAGCATACCCACAGCAGGCAGCTTGGGTTTTTGTCCCAGTCTTCTTCGGTCTTCAAGGGCTATTTTCATAGAGCATGAGGAGCCGTGGGACTGGTGAGGTCTGGGCTTCTGTGCCAAGATCACTCACGTTCCTCATTTGCCCTCAAATGTTCCAAATGCTTTGTATCACCTGATTTTCTACCTTCCTGCTAAAGCTTTTCCCATACTCCTACTCCTTCACGCTCCATCATCCTCCAATTCTGACATGACTTCCACCCTGGAGTTTCACCATGGCCACTTGCTTGTGGGAGGCACTGTCTGAACACAGCCCCTGAATGCTACTGATTTGGCTCTTTCTTCAGATTCTCTAGACTGAGATTTTAAAGAGATAACTTTGTGCCAAGAGAAAGGACCTAGTTTATATGTGCCATGAAAAATTCTTATATATAGCTGGTTACCTAGAAGTTGATATAAGAGAAATATGTAAGAAGCTTCACAAAGATTTTTAAAAATTTAAGGATAATTGCTTGATAAATTTTAATTAAAGGAAAACAATATTCTGGGGGCAGCATTTCTAGTTATATTACCATTGGCATTAAGGAAGCCACAGAACCTTTCAGAATATACAGTGATTCTTGATTCCTGAAGTAAATGCAGGGTAGGGTCCTGGATGGTCCTTCTGGTGACAGGGTGGCTCCTATGTTCACATTCAATTCCACTGACCAAGCACAGATTCCAAGAGATGTTGACCAGAGAAGATGATTTCTCCCTTGATTTTCACAAAGAAGGAGTCCACAACTTTTCCTTCCAACCTGAAGGAAGAGAGGATGTCCCTTGAATTGAGTCTGCCTACTGTAACCCTGACCGTCCCTACTAATGGCAGTGGCTTTTTAGCCCATTTACCCACATGGGGTAAATGCTCTAATTGCTCTGCCTCCACAGAGGCTGGGCAGGCGATTCAGGTGAGACACTCGGAATAAGGATGCTTGACCTAGTTTCTTTCTTCTCTGGCCTTCTTCTGCCTGAATGCCCTGAATAATGCAGCAGGGATAGGGCCAGGGTAGTCAACTGTACAGAAGGCTGGGCCAGGCAGACACAACTGGCAGAAGCCCAAAGCAAAACCTTTCCAGTGAGGTTTTAGCCAATCAGAAAAAGGCTCTAAAGTGACACTTGTTGCTAGCTGAAAAGTCTGTGCGAAGAGGCCTGTGAGACTGAGGAATCCCCAGGTCTGGCGTAGCAGTTGCCTCAGAATAAACCTGTGGGAAGTTTTTCCCTTAGACAGGAAGGAAAGGATGGATTAGAGGCCTCTATTCTGAGGGACACTGAGGTGGGGGCTGAGGAAGGACATTGAGGGCAGCTTCAGGTCTCTCTGCCTACTCTTCCTTGCCCCAACTCCATTCCAGGTGTGAGTATGGTTCCTCCTTTATGTGTCCATCACAGCAGTGGAGACCATCCTTAGGCTGGGTTTACCCTGATCCTGAGTAAACCACTGCTGCTGGACGCCCAGTGGCAACTTTCCCAGTCTCAGGTGCTCTAGAATTATGCTGTGAATAATACAGAATATTGGAGTGGCTCAACGCTTTCATGTGCCACTATTGCAAACCTCTTGCTGTTGCCTCTTCCCTGCTTCTTTTTACCTGGTAAACTTATATTCTGATTTTAGATTGTATTCTCTACTTTAAAAGCAGAACCTAAAATTTTGGGAAAAGAAAGAGAGAAAGGGAGAGAAGAAGAGAGGTGGAGATATTTATTGTCTTGGTTGGGGTCAGAAGTAATGTTTGCCAGGCATTGTTCTAATTGCTTTATAACCATTAGTACTGTCCCTAGTCACTGCCAAGAGGAGCTTGATAAGTTATGCTTATTTATAAAAACACATTGATGTAGATATGTCCATGAGGAACTGTTAAATAAAAAATACATAGAATTGAAAAAAACCACATTGATACCTCTGCCACTTGGGATTTGATGTTTAGGGCTGGCACAGTACAATCTGTGACTCTAAACATTTTCTCCATCATTAATACTATTCAGGACCTAGGAAATGCTTCTCCACAGCTTTTGCTCTCTCTCCTCAAATCTAGACATGACTATATCTGAATACTGTAAAGGTTTGTGTATTGTGCCTTTGCTGATATCAGATGCACCTATTTCATGGTTCAGAGAGGATTTAAACAGCTGAAGAACTTAGAAAAGGAATGTCAACTTAATTAACTTTTCAAATACTTTCACTCGAAGAGTATAAATACAATATATTCTTGCGTAATGAAGAATCATTTACCAGCAGGGATGGGTGTCAATTTTTTTTGGCTTGTTTTCTTGTTCCACATATTAACCTGATAGTTACACATAACAGTTGAGGATCCTTTTGTAACATTAAACAAGTCATATTAATCTTAAATTTGTATATGTGAAGATCTAGATGTAAAATGCATGAAACATGATCCACATTTTACAAAGAGAAGCCTGGGGCAAAAATAAATTCAGTAATTTGTTGACTCTCATAAAGCACATTAGTGGTGGAACTGCAACTCACCATTATTTCCTTCTAAGAACTTTGCTCTTTTCACCAAAACTTAAGGCTCCTCAGGGTGTGTCTAAGACAACAGCAGTAAAAATGTCTATGACAGCAATTTTCTCTCCCCTGAAATATGATCCCCACTTAATTTGCCCTATTGAAAGAATCCCAAGTATAAGAACAACTGGTTTTTAATCAATATTACAAAGATGTTTACTGTTGAATCGCATTTTTCTTTGGCTTCTTAAAATCCCTTAGGCATTCAATCTTCAGCTCTTCCATAATTGAGAGGAAATTTTCACCTCAAATGTTCATCCAGTGCAATTGAAAGACGTCACAGTGCCAGGCACTGGATTCAGAACCTTCACAAAAAAAAAATCTGCCCAGAGACAGATGAGGTCCTTCAGCTCCAGTGCTGATTGGTTCCTTTCCAAGGGACCATCCAATCCTACCACGCATGGAAACATCCACAGATTTTTATTCTTTCTGCCAGGTACATCAGATCCATCAGGTCCGAGCTGTGTTGACTACCACTTTTCCCTTCGTCTCAATTATGTCTTGGAAAAAGGCTTTGCGGATCCCCGGAGGCCTTCGGGCAGCAACTGTGACCTTGATGCTGTCGATGCTGAGCACCCCAGTGGCTGAGGGCAGAGACTCTCCCGGTAAGTGCAGGGCAGCTGCTCTCCAGAGCCGCTACTCTGGGAACAGGCTCTCCTTGGGCTGGGGTACGGGGATGGTGATCTCCATAATCTCGGACACAATCTTTTATCAACATTTCCTCTGTTTTGGGAAAGAGAGCTATGTTGCATTTCCATTTATCTTTTAATGATGAAGTGAGGACAATCCAATCCCATCCTACAGGCTTAAGCCTGGAAGAGGAGGAGAGAGGAGAGAAAAGAGGAGACAAAGTGTTCATTTACTACCAGTGATAGGACAAAGTGAGCATGGGGTTATTTTTGAAGATATGAATTTCTCCAAAGACACAGCAGGATTTGCCATTTAGGCGTGTCCCAAGACTTGCCTGGACTAAATATTATGATTTCCTGCATTGGGAAATGCAAGGCAGCAATGGTGTCTGTAGTCTCCGTATTTGGGGAAAAGTTGTCTGTATTCCTGACCCAGTGGAGCGTTTGTGGAGGCAAAATCTTGGTACTGAGGGAAGCTGACTGGCTGACCACAGAAAGAGAGCCTTCAGGTTTCACTGATTTATGGGCAAATGGTGACCTGAGTGGGATTCAGATACCCGAGTTGATGATGGACTAAATTTAGTAGAAAGGAGGATGTAAAGAAGGGAAATAACACATACTGTGAAACCACTCATTTCAGACACAGAACAATACTTTACATAAATTCTCTCTCACTCCTTCTAACATCCTGTGTGTAGATATCATGATTTTCTTTTACACAATTATACTTGTGATATGGATATTCTGTTACATAAACTGCCCGGGCTGGTGACTGCCACAGTTTAATGGGAATCTAGTTTATCAAATTCAAAAGCTTGTGCTCTTTCGGTGAATAAATGTTTCTTTCTAGGACTCAGAGATCTAGGACTCCCTTCTTTCTAACACAGACGTGAGTGAACCTCACAGGGCACTTGGGAGGGTAAATCCAGGCATGGGAAGGAAGGTATTTTACCCAGGGACCAAGAGAATAGGCGTATCGGAAGAGGACAGGTTTAATTCCTGGACCTGTCTCGTCATTCCCTTGAACTGTCAGGTTTATGTGGATAACTTTATCTCTGAGGTACCCAGGAGCTCCATGGAAAATGAGATTTCATGCGAGAACGCCCTGATCCCTCTAAGTGCAGAGGTCCATGTAAAATCAGCCCGACTGCCTCTTCACTTGGTTCACAGGCCGAGACAGGGACAGGGCTTTCCTCCCTTTCCTGCCTGTAGGAAGGCGGATTCCCGAAGACCCCCGAGAGGGCGGGCAGGGCTGGGCAGAGCCGCCGGGAGGATCCCAGGTCTGCAGCGCGAGGCACGGGCCGGCGGGAACTTGTGGTCGCGCGGGCTGTTCCACAGCTCCGGGCCGGGTCAGGGTGGCGGCTGCGGGGGCGGACGGGCTGGGCCGCACTGACTGGCCGGTGATTCCTCGCAGAGGATTTCGTGTACCAGTTTAAGGGCATGTGCTACTTCACCAACGGGACAGAGCGCGTGCGTCTTGTGAGCAGAAGCATCTATAACCGAGAAGAGATCGTGCGCTTCGACAGCGACGTGGGGGAGTTCCGGGCGGTGACGCTGCTGGGGCTGCCTGCCGCCGAGTACTGGAACAGCCAGAAGGACATCCTGGAGAGGAAACGGGCGGCGGTGGACAGGGTGTGCAGACACAACTACCAGTTGGAGCTCCGCACGACCTTGCAGCGGCGAGGTGAGCGGCGTCGCCCCTCTGCGAGGCCCACCCTTGGCCCCAAGTCTCTGCGCCAGGAGGGGCGAAGGGTCGTGGCCTCTGGAACCTGAGCCCCGTTTGTTCCACCCCAGAGGACAGGAGGCAGCGGCGAGAGTGGTGGGGGCAGGTGCATCGGAGGTGCGGGGACCTAGGGCAGAGCAGGGGGACAGGCAGAGTTGGCCAGGCTGCCTAGTGTCGCCCCAGCCTACCCGTTCGTCGGCCTTGTCCTCTGCTCTGCATGTTCTTGCCTCGTGCCTTATGCATTTGCCTCCTTTTGCCTTACCTTTGCTAAGCAGCTCTCTCTGCTCAGAATGCCCGCCCTCTTCCCCTGCCCGCCCGCCCGCCCCACTAGCACTGCCCCACCCAGCAAGGCCCACGTGCACAGCTCTTGCAGCAGGAAGCTTCAGGCTTAGCCTGGTGGAGTTAGGGCTGTTCCACAACTGCGCGCAGGACATTCAGCAATTACAGTTGTGAAATAAGATATTTTAACTTTTGGCTTCAAATCATTATTCATCGTAATTCTGTTTTCTTAAATGGCTCTCATTCATGGCAGAGATCTTTGAGGTGAGGGTGTTTTAATCATTGCATGCCTAGTACCTGACACATTGACTGGTATGTGGTGTGAGCTCAATGATCTTCTGTTAAATTAATGAATAAATGTACTCAGCTGCCCATCCACTTAGGCTCAAGAAAAAAAAAGAGGTAAACAGAGCCTTAAAAATGGACTTTATTAATTATTTTCTATAATTTTGCTTAATGCTTTAAAGTAAACTCTTATTGACTTGGATCTTAATAGAGTTTGTGAATACAAAATCTGAGGAAAAAAGTTTTTGCTAAAAATAAAAACAACGCTTGAAAGATATTGTAAGGCAGTTTAAATTTCTTTTCTTTTCTTTTTTTTTTTTTTTTGAGACGGATTCTCACTCTGTCGCCCAGGCCGGAGTGCAGTGGCGCGATCTCGGCTCACTGCAAGCTCCGCCTCCCGGGTTCACGCCATTCTCCTGCCTCAGCCTCCTGAGTAGGTGGGATTACAGGCGCGTGCCACCACGCCCGGCTAATTTTTTTGTATTTTTAGTAGAGGCGGGGTTTCACCGTGTTAGCCAGGATGGTCTGGATCTCCTGACCTCATGATCCGCCCGCCTCGGCCTCCCAAAGTGCTGGGATTACAGGTGTGAGCCACAGTGCCCGGCCGGCACTTTTAATTTCTTAGAAAAGCTGAACAAATGGCACAATGCAAAGAGCAAAAGTTTTGGAATAAATAGATTGAAGCCATTAAATTATTGGATAAAAATAGTTTCGGGTTGCTTTTGGCCTAGGTTCTCCCCTCCCCCCATGACTATCCACTTCAGGAATAAACATTCTGAAAGTCAATTTTACCCATTTAGTGAGCATTTATTTCTAGACAGTTGCCTTATCAAATACCATCTATGTTACGTCATTTAATCTCACAGTTACTTGTGCATCAGAGATTAGCATCACCACTTTATATATTGGTACATGATAAACACTTTATTGGTCATGGATGGGGAGATGGTCACTGTAGGCTAATATTGGTACATGATAAACACTTTAAGTAATCAGCCCATAATTGCTCACCAAGACCTTAAGCCTCCCAAAGTACACAACATTCTTTGTGTTCTTCACTACACATCCATAGAGTCTAAGGGACGTAAAGCCTCGTTAAAGCCAGTTTTGACCAGAAGCAGCAATGAGTCTATTCCTGTGTGTTTTCCATGTTAATGGGACAAAATGATACTTTCAAGGCATTGAAAATTCATGATTAATCAATCCCTAGTCTGACCCCAGTGTTATCTATGCAGGTTTGCAAAACCTTTAGTTTACTTAATACTCCCTTGCCTTCTTTTGATTCACATCCTAATGCCAGCAAATACTTATGTTTTTGCTATTTCAGTTCCATTTCCATAAAATTTATTTTATCATCTTTTCTCATAAATTTATGCCCTCTATTTTTACTCCCAATCTGTTTAAGATGAACAAATCTTATAAGGCCACATAGCTGACTGTTATTTCTGTTGGACTCCAGGAAGGAGAACCTAAAGAAAAGTTCAAGTCCAAGCAGAAACCGTGATTTCTTCCAGATGATGGCTCATGAGTGCCATTTAATTGGGGTGCCACCTGGTGACCTCAGCAAATCCCAGCTATATTTATGTGTTCACATTACAGGATCATTAACCCAGACCGACCACTGCACAGATCTCAGAATATTTTCTATGGAGAACATACATAATAATGCCTGATTTCAGAAGAAGAAAGTAATTCTCAATAGCAAGGGGATGGAGTAGGGTAGACAGCTGTAATTAAACTCACTTGTGTGATAAAAAGAAATTAAGGAAAAAAGAAAATGAGAGAACATATTACTAAATAAAGAAAGCATACATTAAATATTTACTATAGTTTCACACTAAGAGAATAAAGGAAATGCAATAAAGTGGCCTGAAAGGTAAAGGATGAGATGTGTAAAGGGGTGTAGTATTTTTACTATGAGCAGCAATCTGAGAAGATAAAGGAATCGAGTTACGGGCAAACATGATGTTTGATCAGTGTTATTTGTTTTCAAGGCCTGCCTAAATTTTTTTCAAATATTACAAACTTTTGAAATAACATTCTTTTTGTTTTTTGCTGTCTGTTACTAGGTTGCACATTTTATAAAGGCAGGGACCATGGTATGTTGTTTGTCTTTGGATTCTCAGTGATTGTTATATTTATATTTGTTGAAGGAACCTTAATCCAAGACTTGGACTCCAAGTATCTTTCCACTCTGGTTCCAAGGAGGGACCTTCCTCACAGCAGGCATGCTGTGTGGTCTCACATCTCACTCCTATATCTTTCCCTGTCTGTTACTGCCCTCAGTGGAGCCCACAGTGACCATCTCCCCATCCAGGACAGAGGCCCTCAACCACCACAACCTGCTGGTCTGCTCGGTGACAGATTTCTATCCAGCCCAGATCAAAGTCCGGTGGTTTCGGAATGACCAGGAGGAGACAGCTGGCGTTGTGTCCACCCCCCTTATTAGGAATGGTGACTGGACCTTCCAGATCCTGGTGATGCTGGAAATGACTCCCCAGCGTGGAGACGTCTACACCTGCCACGTGGAGCACCCCAGCCTCCAGAGCCCCATCACCGTGGAGTGGCGTAAGGGGATATTGAGTTTCTGTTACTGTGGGCCCCACAAGACAAAGGACAGAGCTCCTTCTGACCCATCCCTTCCCATCTCTTATCCCTGATGTCACTGCTGAGCTGGGAATCACAGGAGACTAGAGCACCTCTAGTTCCATGGCGAGTGCATCAGAAGAATCCTGATCTCATCACCTTTCCAGATGCTAGGGAAATTACTCTACATACTGTTGCTCTGGATCCCAGTCCTGATTGCTCTGAGGAACTGATTATTAGGGCTGGTGACTGGGATCTTAGGGTCTAAGTTTATGGATGAGTTCCTGAGGAGTGGAGATCTGCTTCCCCACTCTGTCACCTACTCACTGTATCCAAGGACCTATTGGCTGGCCTTTCCCTCCCTTAGGGGTGGTCTGAATGGAGAACTAGGTTCCTTTGATGCCTTCACCTCCTGCATCTCAGACTGGACTTCAGCTCCTCATCAGGGAAACTATGGGGTATGGGGACAAACACTGACACTCAGGCTCTGCTTCTCAGGGGCTCAATCTGAATCTGCCCAGAGCAAGATGCTGAGTGGCATTGGAGGCTTCGTGCTGGGGCTGATCTTCCTCGGGCTGGGCCTTATCATCCATCACAGGAGTCAGAAAGGTGAGGAACCCCAGGGGAAAAGGGGAAGATGGCCTGTGACCCAGACCCTCTGTTCAGAGAGGTCCTGTCTCTAGATGTAGCTCTTTCCTCCTGACCCTGAGAGGAAGAAAGCTGAGCTGGAAGTGGAAGGAGACAGGACAAGGTTGGAGGAGGCATTGGAATCTGATTTTACTAGCTGAAGGGTAGCCCTGTCACAGAGCTGACTGATAGAGCTTATTCCAGGGCATCCTTACCATTCATCATTGTCTCACTGGCTCCTTTCCAAAAACTTCCTCCATTAAGAGGGTCAGAGCCTCGGCCTCCTTGCCTTCTAGTGACAATTTCCTTTATTTTAGGGGATTTTAAATTAGGGTGCTTAAGGACTTGAAGAACATGAATGGGAAGAGAATATAACTCTAATTAAGTCACATGTGTCATTTTCCTTTGGGGTGAGAGAGTGGCTGTTCATGTAATGAGACCTTTCTCTGCATAACTTCCTTTTGTAAGACCTCAAGGGCCTCCACCAGCAGGTAATATTTCAGCCGTGATCCAGTGTGGGGAGGGCACAGGTGTAAGAGGGAAGAGCATGAGCTGAGTGTACCTGACAGTAGTGGTCTCTGTTCATGGTATATTTGCTGCTATGAGGATCAAGACTTAGGGGTGAAGTTTGCCAGTTTCTAGGAATCTCCAGAGGTTGTTCCCCAGAACCAAGCCTTAACTTTGGTGGTATCTTCCTGTTAAATGTGGAGCCAGAACCACGGCTTAAATGTTAGACACTAGGATGATGCCCACTTTGTGCCACATGATGGTGGCTACTGCCTGTAGGCATTTTCCAGTGACTGAAAGAGGCTGCTAGTGGTAGGGATGAGGTATCATCCAATTTCCTAAAAAGATTGAACCCTTCATATTCACCAGAAGAGTAACAGCTGTTCCCCCACCTCCCACACATCTGCATCAAGCTGAAGTTCTGTGTCTTCATGAGCTGATTTCACCTTTGCACAGATCTTGGGGGAGGTGATGACAATACACTCTGGACCTCAGCTTTGTCTGTCTGAAGCTGCAGGAGGCCCCTGAGGGGTGGGGAAGATGGCAGGCCCACCAGCGTACCCTGTGCTGATCATCCCTCTTCTCTCTTCTTCAGGGCTCCTGCACTGACTCCTGAGACTATTTTAACTGGGATTGGTTATCACTTTTCTGTAACGCCTGCTTGTCCCTGCCCAGAATTCCCAGCTGTCTGTGTCAGCCTGTCCCCCTGAGATCAGAGTCCTACAGTGGCTGTCACGCAGCCACCAGGTCATCTCCTTTCATCCCCACCTTGAGGCGGATGGCTGTGACCCTACTTCCTGCACTGACCCACAGCCTCTGCCTGTGCACGGCCAGCTGCATCTACTCAGGCCCCAAGGGGTTTCTGTTTCTATTCTCTCCTCAGACTGCTCAAGAGAAGCACATGAAAACCATTACCTGACTTTAGAGCTTTTTTACATAATTAAACATGATCCTGAGTTATCTGTATTCTGAACTTCCTTAATTGAGCAGAGGCAGGAAATCACTGCAGAATGAAGGAACATACCTTGAGGTGACCCAGCCAACCTGTGCCCAGAAGGAGGGTTGTACCTTGAAAAGACACTGAAAGAATTTGGGGTGCAAAGTCATGGTGGGCAGAGGAGGTAGAAAATCAACTCAGTTGTTGCATCATTCATGGTTCTTTCATATTGATGTTCAGTGCAGTGGCCTGAGAATATCCCAGCCTCTCTTCTGGTTTGGTGAGTGCTATATAAGTAAACATGGTGGAATTGTTTGGGGGCAGATATAGTGACCCTTGGTCACTGGTGTTTCAAACATTCTGGCAAGTCACATCAATCAAGAATAATTTTTACTTTTAAGAAAGCATAACCAGCAATAAAAGTATTATTTTTGATTCTAAATGATAGAAACCCAAATATATTTTGTTCATGGTGCAAAGGAAGCCTAGAGTCAAGTTGATTTCAGAAGTGACTAGTTCCAGATACACAATGAGATCTTCACCTCTCTTTCTGTTATATCTCTATCTGTGAATCTGCCTCTCTTTCTGTGTCTCTTTGTCCCTGTATAGTTCTTTCTGCGTGTCTCTCTGCATCTTTGTCTCTGCCCCCTTGTTGTGTCTTTCACTACATTGTTGCCTTTCTATTTTTCTAATCCATGGTCACTGTTTATCTGCATTTTTTCTATCTCCGTGTTTCTTTTTGCATCTATTTTTCTGCATTTCTCTTCCTTATCACTTCATATCTTATCTCATCTCTCTCTCTTGCTGTGTGTGTGTGTGTGTGTCTGTTTGTCTGTCTCTGTTAATATATGTTTCTAGAATGTCTACCAGAGTTTTAACAACTTTAGGAAAGATTCTGATTGGCCAAGCCTGGGTAACATGCACACCTCTCAAACACATTGTCCTGTGCACGGGATGCTGACAGCCAGCATTGTGTCCATCGCTCTTATTAGGAAGGAGGACTGGATTTTCCAGATCCTTGTGGTCCTGGAAATGACTTCCAGTGTGCAGATGTCTACACCAGCCATGTGGAGCACCTCAGCCTCCACAGCCTCCTCACAGTGGAGGGGTATAAGGGGCAGTTTGTTTCTTGTGGAGCCCACAGGACAAATGGCAGAGCTCCCTCTGGTTCTAGGGTCCCTCATTGGGGGTGCCTGTTCATAGTCATTCCACTCCTTGTCTGAGCTCCCTTTGTCATAGACGTTGTAACCTGTTGATTCCTGATGACACTCTTTTCCCGGTTATGAGGGAGGTCACTACACACTGTGGCCCCTTTGATGTGGGCCCAGCCCTGAAGCTGGTCTACATCTCAGTCTCTGAGTTTCGTCATGAAGCCAGAGTCTGGGAGCTTCTGCGAGGTTATGTAAGGCCATGACCCTGAAAGCAGACATCCCATCTTCCTTTCTCCCTCACCCACACACTGGGCGTGAGGAGTCTTTGGCAGGCTCTTCCTTCTTATGGATGAGGTCAGAGTGGAGAACTAGGTCTCCTTGGGACCTTCATCTCCTGTACTCCAGGCTGTCATGCAGGTCCTCAGACAGGGACACTGGCGCACAAAGAGGCACCAACACTTGAGATTCTGCTCCCCAGGGTTATAGTCTGAATTTTCCCCAAGCAAAATTCTGAATGGAGTCAAAAGTTTTGTGCCGATTTTGTCCTCTTCCTCAGGGTGGGCACTGTCATTCACCATAGGGATCAAAAGGGAGTAACACTTTTGGGGAAATGGGGAAGGCATGTGCTGGGTTGTCCAGCGTGTCCTCAGTCTCTGTGTGTAGCTCCTGGCTTTTGGCCCTGCAAAGGGAAGAGGCAGGGCTAGGGATTGAACAAGACTCAAAGTTTAGGGGAACATCGAGATCTGATTTTTCTAGTTGAAGCATAAGCCCTATAATTGGGGTGGGTGATAGATTATATTCTAGGACATTCTTACAGTTCAACATTGTCACACTGAGCACACATGCTGGAAGATTCTTTATTAACGAGAGGGTCAAAATCGTCTTCTCTTTCTTCCATTGACAGTTTCATAGAAACAACTATGTTTTGCACCCAGATTTCATTGGATAGTATAATCTTTAATGGATAATTAATTAAAATAATAAGTACATCGTCTATAAATAAGTTTGCTAACACAAAGAACTGAGTCTTACTCAGCATATAACTTGGAGGAAAGCGTGTGGGTGTTCTAGAGGACAACCTACTGGTCTTGAGCATTTGTCCTTACCTTAGATAATAACAGTATAACTTTTGGAGACAGTGATGCTTACCAGTATTCCAAAGCTCCTGTACATTTCTCAGTCTTTTCCGCTGTTAGGTTGGGGACATTTGACTAACAGTAACCAATGGAACTTGCAAGTAGGTGCATGGTGGTGTATGAGATGCTGGAAACTCCATAATCTGAGTCATTTGAATAACGGTGGAATTAAGTCTCCTTATTGAGTTAAGTCACTGAGATCTACTTTTTACTGTGGGTTAAGATCTTATTGCAGCATAACCTTGCCCTTCCTGATTATCATGAAATGTTTAACTTAAGGAAGAAGAGAGTCCTTAAGTTAATAGGGTGAATCAACTGAGTTAATGGAAGTTAAGAGATGATTTTTTAAAACAAATTAAAAAAATAAAAAAACAGAAAACTTTATTTGAACAAGAAAAAGTTAAGGATGTTACACTCCAAAAGAATTTTGAACTCATTAATTATTTTTAATTGATAAATCACTGTGGATTTACAGGGTACTGTGTGATTTTTTTGATACATGTGATTAAACCAGGCTAATTAACATATCCATCACTTCACTTTTTGGTGGTATGAATATTTAAAATCTCTCTCTGCAATTTTCAAATATACAATACAGTTGGCCCTCTATATCTGTGGGTTTCACATCCTCTCATTCATTCAACTGTGGGTTGAAAATATTTAGAAAAAAATGAAAACTAACAATATAACTATAAAAATAATTCCGATTCAAAAACAATAAAGCATAACAACTATTTTCATAGCATTTACATTACATTGGGTATTCTAAGTATAATCTAGAGATGATTTAAAGTATACAGGAGGATAGGCTTAGTTTATATGCAAAAACTAAGACGTTTTTAATAAGGGACCTGAGCATTCTCAGATTTTGGTATACAGAGAGGGTACTGGAACAAATCCCTCGTGGGTGCCGAGGGACGACTGTACATTATTATTAACCGTAGTCACCATGCTGTACAATCGATCTTCAGTACTTATTCCTCCTGCCTAACTGAAACTTTGTACTTTTTTTCTGAAACGGGGTCTAGGTCTGGCTGGGGTGCAGTGGTACGATCACAGCTCACTGCAGCCTTCACTTCCCGGGCTCAATCCATCCTCCCACCTCAGTCTCTGGAGTAGCCGGGACTACTGGCATGTGTGACCATGCCTGGCTAGTTTTTGCATTTTTTGTAAAGATAGGGTTTCACCATGCTGCCCAGCTGGTCTTGAACTCCTGTGCTCAACCAATCTACCTGCCTCAGCCTCCCAAAGTGGTGGGATTATAGGCATGAGCCACCACACCCTGCCCTTCTTTGTACCTTTTGACCAACATCTTCTCATTCCTCCTTGTCCCCCTCCCTGCTACCCCCACTCCCCGACCTGCCATGATTTTGACTTTTTTAGATTCCACAGGTAAGTGAGGTCATGCAGTATTTGTCTTTCCGTGCCTGGCTTATTTCACTTAACATAATGTCTTCCAGGTTCATCCATGTTGTAAAAAATGTAAAAGATTTCCTTCCTTTACAAGGCTGAATAGTATTCCATTGTGTATATGGACCACAGTTTCCTTATACACTCATCTGCTGATTGAGACTTAAGTTGTTAACATCTCCTGGCCATTGTGAGTAGTGCTGCGATGAACATGGGAGTACAGATACCTCTTTGATACACTGATTTCATTTTCTTTGCAGATGTACCCAGCAGTGGAATTGCTGGATGATGTGGTAGTTCTATTTTTATTTTTTAAATAGATGATGAATTAAAAAAAAAACATTTATTTGGGTGGGGCGCCGTGGCTCACGCCTGTAATCCCAGTACTTTGGAAGGCCGAGGTGGGCGGATCACTAGGTCAGGAGTTCAAGACAAACCTAGCCAACATAGTGAAACCCCGTCTCTACTAAAAATACAAAAATTACCCCCGCCCGGCCAGCCGCCCCGTCCGGGAGGGAGGTGGGGGGGTCAGCCCCCCCGCCCGGCCAGCCGCCCCATCCGGGAGGTGAGGGGCGCCTCTGCCCGGCTGCCCCTACTGGGAAGTGAGGAGCCCCTCTGCCCGGCCAGCCGCCCCGTCCGGGAGGGAGGTGGGGGGGGGTCAGCCCCCCTGCCCGGCCAGCCGCCCCGTCCGGGAGGTGAGGGGCGCCTCTGCCCGGCCGCCCCTACTGGGAAGTGAGGAGCCCCTCTGCCCGGCCACCACCCCGTCTGGGAGGTGTGCCCAACAGCTCATTGAGAACGGGCCAGGATGACAATGGCGGCTTTGTGGAATAGAAAGGCGGGAAAGGTGGGGAAAAGATTGAGAAATCGGATGGTTGCCGTGTCTGTGTAGAAAGAAGTAGACATGGGAGACTTTTCATTTTGTTCTGCACTAAGAAAAATTCCTCTGCCTTGGGATCCTGTTGATCTGTGACCTTACCCCCAACCCTGTGCTCTCTGAAACATGTGCTGTGTCCACTCAGGGTTAAATGGATTAAGGGCGGTGCAAGATGTGCTTTGTTAAACAGATGCTTGAAGGCAGCATGCTCGTTAAGAGTCATCACCAATCCCTAATCTCAAGTAATCAGGGATACAAACACTGCGGAAGGCCGCAGGGTCCTCTGCCTAGGAAAACCAGAGACCTTTGTTCACTTGTTTATCTGCTGACCTTCCCTCCACTATTGTCCCATGACCCTGCCAAATCCCCCTCTGTGAGAAACACCCAAGAATTATCAATAAAAAAATAAAAATAAATAAAAAAAAAAATACAAAAAAAAAAAAAAAAGAAAAAAAAAAGACATTAGCGAAATCTAACATGACATAGGTTTAGTTGCATTCTGCACCTGTGTCCACTAAAAAAAAAAATAAAATAAAATAAAAATAAAAATAAAAAATAAAATAAAATAAAAATAAAAATACAAAAATTAGCCGGGCATGGTGGCATTCTCCTGTAGTCCCAGCTATTTGGGAGGCTGAGGTGGGAGAATTGCTCGAACCCAGGAGGCGGAGGTTGCAGTGAGCCGAGACCACACCATTTCACTCCAGCCTGGGTGACAGAGCGAGACTGCAAAATAAAACTATATATATATTTTGTTTGTTTGTTTGTTTTCTTCTACATGAATATATACGTATTCCCAGGAACTAGAACACCGTTTCTGTTGTGGATGCTGTTCTGTTCTACCTAAACTCCTCCCTTTGGGACTGAAGGATTTATTCTCTCACTGCTGGGAATGTTGCTGGCTGACAGCCCTTAGCTGTCAGTCATCCCCCAGAATTGCTTTAGGTGATGAAAGCAGCCTCATCAGATTTTACTCCACTTCCCAGGAAGAACCCACCTATAATGACTGGTCAGTGTTGGGGTATAAATGTCCTAAACCCTTTCCCTAAATTGAGCCAAATCTGAAGGGATCTTACAGCTTCAGAACTCCCTGGGGGTTAGGTTGAAGACTTTTTGACTGAATGATAGTCCAATTTTCTAAAACCCTGCTTTAATTCATGAGCCATCTTACATAATTCTTTTGGTACAAATGTAATTTAAATGTAGTGATCTTTGTGATTTCTTCCTTAACTATGGGCAATGTCTCTTTTCTGCTTCTTGGGAGATGAAGTTATTGGCATTGATACCCTTCCTTTCCCCTACACTTTATGCTTCCACTTGCCAAAATGAGATACAGGCACCCTTTTTTCAATATTGTCAAAGCTGACCATTTTGACATTCTGCTGTAACAATAAGCATACTTGGGCTTTGCTCGTAGCTTAATTCTAAAAATTGAAAAAAATAGTTTATCATTTTCTAAATATCACTCATGTATCAGACGTTCTTTGCTTGCCAAGGAACTGCTGTAATAGGATCCCTTTTCAGTGAGGTCCTGCATTAAATTCAGTTTTCTGGATTCCTTATCTTCCCATTTCCTGATTAACAATTCCACTTTACTAAGTAATATTCTTAGTCAACTTCTAATAAAACTATGTGTGGTAGGTACAATTTTTGCCTTTTCATATTTCTTGACTTAGTTTTCCAACCTTCCTATTAAATTTTCCAATTGTTTATAGCATTCTATTATTACTCTTACAGATTAAGAATTCTAATTAGAAAGACTTTAAACTTGTTTGCTGTTACATGAGCTTTCCATATTAAATCTGTGATAATTTTCATGTTATTTTATTCTCATCTTCTCTTTCGTGTTGTAAGAGTTTCTCAAACATTTGCTCTGACTGCCTCAACCTTGTCCTTTACCTACTGTATACCATCTTATTTCATCTCAAGATACACTTCTTCGAGCCACCTCTAATCTCCCCCAAATTATACCTGGTTCCTGTGCAACACTCTCTCACTTTACCTTGTTTTCTTTTCCTTTATAAATTATTCAGAGTTTGTAATTATATGTTTGTGGAATTATGTAATATATGTATATTTCTTCCCACTAGAGTGTAAGTTCTATGAAGACAATGAATGTATCTCTTTTCACATTATTTTAATGATACGTATAACAAAGTATGGTACTTATTGCTATAATGGTACTCAAAGACCATTTTTGCAGTTTTGATGAATTAAGGAATATATAAACAAGTCTGGGGGCTTAGTACAGCCAATAATAAAGGAAAAAGTACTTTGCTTTCCTTTGCTATTATTAGTTCTTGCATACACATTCTTTAGAGTTGCATTTTTGAGAGGTTCCTATAGTCTTAGGCAGGATTTGGATACTTAGGATTTCCCAACTGTGATAAAAATGAGAAAAGCCTAAAAACTAACATAACTTCAAACAGAATGTTTCTCTGCCTATGTTTATGGGACTTTCCTGGAATGCATTTTTTAAAAAACTTTGTATTACAGAAAACTTCAACAGTGTTAGAGAGAAGAGTGCCATGTTTTAACAGCCAAGCTTTAACAATGATCAATTCATGGGCAATTTTGTAAACCCACCCAATTAATCATACATGCACACTGGGTTATTCTGAAGATACTTTCAGATACCATACTTCATTCATAATTATTTTATTATGAAAATCTAAAGTATAATGACTTTTTAGAAACATAACAGCAATGCTATTACCACACTAAAATTAGCTATTTCCTTAATACAGTCGGTGTCAATTTTTCTGATTGCCTCATATCAATTTGGTTCATATATTTCTTCAGCCTTTTAAAAATGTATAGCTTCTCTTCTCTTCTCTTCTCTTCTTTCTCTCTCTCTCTCTCTCTCTCTCTGTCTGTCTTTGAATTGTTGCTAAAAAAATGGAGTTATCTAGTGGAAGTTCCCATATTCTGGATCTTGTTGGTTTCATCCCTGTGGTGTCATCCGCTATGGGATTTGTTAGTTGGTCTCCAGAAAATAACAATAACACTAATTGTTAACACCTACTGACTACTTACTATGTGCCAGTACAGACTGTAAGTAAAATAAAATGTTTAATTCTTCAAATCCCTAGTTTGTTTGTGGCAAGTACAAACCTGAAATATCTCATGTGATTTTTAAAATTTTGTAAAATTTATTTATTTATTTATTTATTTTTAGAGGTGGGGTCTTGCTCTGTTGCCTAGGCTGGAGCGAGCGCGGTGGCACAATCCTAGCCCACTGAAGCCCTGAACTCCTGGGCTCGCTCCTCTCACCTCAGCCTCCAGAGTAGCTGGGATTACAGGCGTGCCACCATGCACTAATTTATTTTTATGTTGTAGAGATGGGGTCTTGCTTTGTTGCCCAGGCAGCTGTTGAACTCCTGCCTTCAAGCAATCCTCCTCCATTGGCCTCCAAAGTGTTAAGATCACAGGCACGAGCCTCTGTGACCCACTAATTTTGTAAATTTTAAATAGTGTGATATTAAATATTAATGAAGTCACACTTTATGTATACAATCTGAAATAATTCAAATAACTGAAATAATTTTTAAGTATCCCATGATTTAAAATCATGCAGGTTGATCTGTAACCCTATGTATAGTAATGTCAATAATGACCCTACATTTTTAGCTGACAAAAAAATTTACTCTTATTTTTTAGAATTAGTTTTAATTCTGCTATTTTAACATTACATAAATACTTTTTGAATACAACCTTTTAATAAAATGCAATATCATTAAATTTGCTTTCCACAGTATTTCTTGAGGACTGAGTCTGAGTTGGGCAGCATTTGTAGATTTCTGTATGACTCTAGTCATTTTGCCATTCAGTATAATCCTTATATTACACACACACACACACACACACACACACACACGCACACAAATGCACACAACTCCAAAATGCTGGATTCTTGCCTCATGAATCATTGAAATTTATATGAAATTTATTTGAAATCTTATTGCTAAAAATTTCTTAGCGCATTTGTGCATTTGAATGTGACTTTTTCATACTAAAAGTTTTATTTTATATATTTGGGATCATAATTGGTTACCTTTTCTTCTCCTTTTTATTTTTATTTTTATTTATTTTTTATTTTATTATTATTATACTTTAAGTTTTAGGGTACATGTGCACAATGTGCAGGTTTGTTACATATGTACATATGTGCCACGTTGGTGTGCTGCACCCATTAACTCGTCATTTAGCATTAGGTATATCTCCTAATGCTATCTCTCCCCCCTCCCCCAACCCCACAACAGTCCCCGGTGTGTGATGTTCCCCTTCCTGTGTCCATGTGTTCTCATTGTTCAATTCCCACCTACGAGTGAGAACATGCGGTGTTTGGTTTTTTGTCCTTGCCATAGTTTGCTGAGAATGATGGTTTCTAGCTTCATCCATGTCCCTACAAAGGACATGAACTCATCATTTTTTATGGCTGCATAGTATTCCATGGTGTATATGTGCCACATTTTCTTAATCCAGTCTATCAATAGACTTTATTTTAAAGCAGTTGTTGGTTCACAGAAAAACTGAGCAGAAGGTGCAGAGATATCCCAGAGGACCCCAACCCCCTGGGCCATGGACCAGTACCAGCTGGTGGCCTGTTAGAAATTGGGCCACACAGTGGGCGAGTTAGCATTACCAACTGAGCCCCGCCTTCTGTCAGATCAGTGGTGGCATTAGATTCTCATAGGAGTGCGAATCCTATTGTTAACTGTGCATGCAAGAGATCTAGGTTGCATGTTCCTTATGAGAACCTAGCTAATGCTTTTTGATCTGAGGTGGAACAGTTTCACAGTTTCATCCCCAAATCATATCCACATTCCAACCACTATCTGTGGAAAAATTGTCTTCCATAAAACTGGTCCCTGGTGCCAAAAAGGTTGGGGACTGCTGCCAGATACACTTGGCTCCCACACATGTGTAGCCTCCCCCATTAGCAACATCTCCCACCAGAGTGGTACATTTGCTATAATTTATGTACTTACATTGGCACATCATTATCACCCAAAGTCCATAGTTTACATTAAGTCTCACTCTTGGTGTTGTACATTCTGTGGATTTGGGCAAATGCATAATGACATTTTTCACCATTGTGGTATCAAATAGAGTAGTTTCATTGCCCTAAAAATCCTCTGTGATCTGTGATGGACATTTTCATGATCATCACTGATTCAGACTCCCTGTGCTTACTGATTCCTAGTCTGCATTTTAAATTATTTTCTCCTTGAAATTTCTTCACCTCCTTCCCAAAGTAAACATGCATAAACATCTGTTGCATATGAAATACCTTGAATAAACACTTACGGGCCATAAGGAGGGAATATATCCCTTCTTAGAGAGTTGAAAACCAAAGTCAAATATTACAATTTCTCGTCCTAAGAGCTCTCTTAGCAATCGATCTCAGCCTCTCTCATTCTGGAGAAAAAAAATATCCTCCAATGATCATATGAAAAGAAATTCACCCATAGCTCTACATTTGAATCTCCTAAATCATTAAGGGGCTGAGAAAAACAAAAGTACTTTTCATATAACGTGATCCATTCTTTTAAATAAATTAATTATAAATATAACCACAATGTTTTCTTGTGTATTTATATACTATGTGTAAGGCATTGACTATACATCAAGATTATTCAAATTCCATCAATAACTCTGCAAGGAAATTATTATTACTCCTACATTGTGGATGAGAAAAATAAGGCCAGAAATGTTAGTTACTTTACCCACTTATAAAGTTTAAAATACTAGCTTCAAAGTACTGAGTCCTGGATTTGGATTTAGGGTTCTTTGCACCAAACTATACTGTATCAATTACTGCATTAATGTTTTGTCTTTTTTCTACAATTAAAGTTTAAACTCACTGATGCAGGTAGCATGGATAGAAATATCCTTACAGATTTCATAGCTGTTTAGAGCCATGAGATCACTGCTGACCCATTTCCTCTGTGAGAGTTTCTCCTAGGAGTTGGCGAATCCAATGGAGGACACAGCACCCACAGCTGCTGCTACATTGTCTTAACTGTGTTGTTCTTCCTAGGGTTTTTCTCATAAGCTAGTGCTTTCCTTAGCCAGGAGGGTTAGGGGAAAGGGCTGGGGATTTCTGAAGATATTGGTATTGTTTTTTTATCGGCATGTTTCCTAGAAACATCTTGCAGCCATATCCACTATACTGTCTCCTTCATGCCAGGCTGGCACAGGGAAAGCTACATGGTTATCTAGCAAAGCTTCATTGAGGAGGTGGGGCAGACTGTGCCTCTATTCTAGGGCTCCTAGATATGTCTGCAGCTTCTACTCCCATCCCTTTCCCCATTGTCACTAACCCTATGTGAGGAATGAGTATTTGTTCCTTTTCAGATACCCACATTATTGTCTTATTCTAATGTTTTTCTGACTTCCATTTCTTTTCCTGCCTAAGGAAATTTTATTCCTTCAGGGTGAGGAGGGGAGAGGAAGGCTTCTACTGTCATCATTCTTCACAAATTTAAAGTTTTGAGAATAACTTTTCACTATTGATATTTTTGAGATTCAAATTTCCTTTATCCCAACCCATTTCTCTGTCATACTTTTAAAAGTCATATTGAAATTAGTACAGACTTACTTTTTTATTTTAAAATTTTTGCTATAACATTTCTGAGCCAAAGGCAGAGGGTATCCATTAACTTCATTGTTGCCTTAATTGAGGGGTGGGTGGCAATGCCAAGGGTGGGAACACAAGGAAGAAAGAAATATTAATGTCAGCTAAGAAATCATGTTATCAGGCTATACTGTAGTTGGTTGCTTCTGTGTTACTGGACATGACAAATGATCTGGTAAATGATGTTAAATTGGCTTGAAACAAGAGAGTCTCCCAATTCTTAGCCACGGTTTCAGTCAGCCCTGGATGAAAGATGGAAAAATTTGACATATATCTCATAAAGGGAATTTGTTGCTTCCATGGAGATTATAGATGGAGGTTACTGAGGAATTAGGTAGCTGGGTGGCTTACTCCAGGCAACTCTTAGTAGGTAACACTTAAGAAGAAAAAAATCAGGAAGTCAGGGAAATAATTCAAAGGCATTTGTGAGCTCTGAGCAGATATAGCAATTTAAGTCCCACAGAAGAGGTGAGAGGAGAAACATTTGGAGGAGAAAAGGGATATGATAAATGGGGCCAGAAAATAATGCTAGGTCATGTAGCAAGTCCACTCTTCTGCTCCTGTAGATGGCGATGCACCTGCAACAGGACAGACATGAGATGGATGGGTCCTAGGCCGCTCCTATGTCATCATCATGCCACTTCCCAATTCCCCTACAACTTTCAACCATTCATGTCCACAGCCTCCTCCACTTTCCTTCCTCTCATACTGCGGATTCAGCTCTAACAAATCTCAATCTTACCTTCCATTCCAGGATGGGATTCACAAGGGCCCTTGGTGTCTGGAAGCACCAACTGAACGCAGGCCTCGGATGATGAAGACAGTGCCCACCACAATGCCCACGAGGCCCACAGACAATCCCAGGGCGCAGACCACAGTCTCTGTGAGCTCTGACATAGGGGCTGGAATCTCAGGCTCTGTGGATATGAAGTCGTTGAGGTCAGAAAGCAGAGTGTGCTCATGTGCATGTGTGTGGGATGGGATGGGGTGGAGGGTTGGCTCTGCAAAGACTCAAGGTCCCCAGCTTAGGGAGGAGAGTGAAGTCTATCATTAGAAAACCATGAAGTGGCTCTTGAGCCCCTATGCTCAGGCCCGTTCCCACCCTGTGAAGTGTACTTTCATTTTCAATAAATCTTTGCTTTTGTTGCTTTATTCTTTCAAAAGAAAGAAAGAAACCCATGAAGTGTGGAAAACAAGTTTTGGGATATAGGAGTAAAAGGCAGGAAGTTCTGAACTTGACAGACAAGAAAGCATCAAAAAGTGGTGGAACTCATCCTTACCCCAGTGTTTCAGAAGAGGCTTGTCCAGGCCCCAGTGCTCCACCTTGCAGTCATAACTCTCCTCAGCAGAAGGGAGGAGGGTGAGGTAACTGATCTTGAAGAAGGAATGATCACTCTTGGAGAGGAAGCTGGTCTCAGAAACACCTTCTGTGACTGAGTGCCCATTGCTCAGCCATGTGATGTTGACCACAGGAGGAAAGATGTTGTCCACAAGACAGATGAGGATGTTGGGCTGACCCAGTGTCACGGGAGACTTGGAAAACACTGTGACCTCAGGAACCTCTGTGGTGAGGAAACAGCACTGATGTGAAGTGTGAATAGCTCTGCCATGAGCTTCTGCATTACATCCTGGAAGAGCCCTCCTACCAGCATTTCACCACCTGATAGTCAAAGAGGTCTTATTTACCTTCTGCTTGGGAGCAACGACACATTGCCTTCGCTTTATTCCTGTGCCCTTCTCTCTGTGGGCATGTTTAATAAAGTAGGAGGTTGATGAGACCTCTCCGAGAAGGATTTAATGAATGGATAATGGAAAGACCCTTGTATTACATGGGAATATGTGATTTTAGAGATGGGAGATGATAAAATTTCAGCAATTGCCATGAGAAGATCTGGGGACCTCTTGGAAATAAAATAATGAAACTTGGTATGAAGGGATAAATCAGTAAAGAGGGGCAGAATTGTTGACACATACCATTGGTAGCAGCGGTAGAGTTGGAGCGTTTAATCAGACTGTTCAAGTTATGTTTTAGGACAGCGATGTTTGTCAGTGCAAATTGCGGGTCAAATCTAAATTGTCTGAGAACAGGCAAACACCAGACAGTCTCCTTCCTCCCCAGGTCCACGTAGAACTGCTCATCTCCATCAAATTCATGGGTGTACTGGCCAGAGGGACCGTAAGACTGGTACAAGTTTACACCATAAGAGGCGACGTGGTCAGCTGATGAGTGAAGATGACAAGCAGGAAGGTGGAGAACAGGGGAAGAAAGAACCTTAATACACAAAATGATGAAAGAAACTGACTTTCAAATATTACGGGCTTCATCTTTGGCACAGCCTGTGGACATTTCCAACCCCTGCTTCCTCCACTCTTATTGTTGGTAGTTGTCCGGTTAAAATTGCGCTTTCTTTCCCACTATAATGTGCGCTACACAAGGGCAGAATATCACATGTCCAGTTTTTACTATTTCCTGAGTGCCTGGCACATCACGGACTTATGATTAAATAATGTAATTGAACAAAAGAAGGAATGAATGAGTTATTATGGTATTTAGCTTTCTTAGTCAGAGATTAGGTTTACTTCCTTCTGCTTCCTAAGATTCATCTTTCACTTAATTCTTTCATCAGTTAATAACAAACTGATTGTATTTTCTTTCCTCTCAGGACTGGCTCAGAACAGGACACTCTACACAGAGGTCTTTCTTTTTTTAAAAAAAAGAAAAGCATGCAGGATCTTATTAATTTAAAATAATGTCTGCTAACAATTGTAGGGTATAAGGAAGAGTATAACAAGAATGGTAATAACATTACAAAATATATAATAAATAAACAATGCCTCCTTCAAGGTCTCTGTTTTGTTAATAGTAATGGTCCTTAGAGGAGAGCAACTGATTTCTTCTGAAATGAAGAGTGGAAGCTCTACTAGTTTTTGGATTTCTGTCATTTCCCCCCACCTTTTTTTTTCCTCTGAAGGAGGTTACTAAATGTCTACAGTGTTCTGACTTAACACTTATATTCACTTGAGGACTCAGGTAAATTAAACCCTTTTTCCTCTAATGGGCAGTGTGCTTGTCTGAGGATGCCAGAGCAGAATGGCAGCCGTGCAATGTGGCTCCAGCCAAATGAGCCGAACTGGACATTCCTGTCAAGACGTGTAAGCCTTTTACCGTTGTATCTTTCCTTCCTTCCCCACTTTCTGAGCATCCACAAGTGTCAGACATAGCAGGGGATGTGTAAAACACCAATCAGGCATGGTCTACCATTAAGGAACAAACTGAAGAGTGGAAGAGTCAGGTAGGTAAGGGAGCAGATACAATGTACTGTAGCATGTTCTGTGAGGAGGCTATCAACAGCCTTACAGTCCAACATCCTTCATAAGTATCTGCCAAGCAAACCAAACTACATTATCCTTTCATGTTCCCTGGTCTTTCCAGTGGTTTGTTGTTTTTCTCCCTGAAATGAAATTATCTTTTAGGACTTCCTGGAGAAATCCTAAAATTCATCCTTGAGGTTTCTGCTTAAGTTAACAACTTTGTAGCTAAGTCCTCTCATCGACATGTTTTTGACCACGTTATGACCTCCAGCTCCTCCACCTCAATATCTGGCTGTTTGTCTGTTCCTCTTCCAGCTCACCTTCTTCCTTATCCAGTATGACTGCCCTGGATTGTCTTAACAGGCCACCAACAAAGCCTTATCCTTGCAATAAACCTTGACTCCTTATCAAACACAAAGCAATCCTTCTTTTCATCTGGGACTTGTCTTGGGTGCCGAGTTTTGCTGGAGGATGTCACCCTGCTGGCCCAGCTGGAACCAAGTCATTTGTATAGTTTCAGCCTCTGCTGAGTCCACTGCCCTGGTCAGCAATGGCCTTCTGCTTTCCTGCATCCCATACCGTTTCCGTCACTAGTCTGAGCACCCTCTGCAGGGAAGACAGCATGACTTTTCATCTTTGAATCCTTAAAACTTAGCTTACTGTGTGCTCAAACGTGTTTTGAATTACAGTTGCTATATTTGAGGACGACATAGATTTTGGGGAAGATGGACAGGCACACTAGCAGAATCATAAGAAGGCCAGGATCAGCCATGACCAGGGCTGCATTCTGACATGTGAGCCCTGAGCACTCTTGCTTTTGTGGGCCCCTTCCTCCATGAAAATATGGAAAATTGTATTTTATGACTGAATTGGTATAAAGACAATACAATCTAGGCTGAATTAAAACATTTTCTTAGGCTCTGAAATTTCATTTTTTTCTAATCTTAAAAGGAGTTAAAACATTCTCATGTGGCTTTACAGTATGGAGGGTTCTCTGCATTGCCCATGTTGTGCCTAATGGATGAGCCGAGCCTGACCAGGGCACTCTGGTGTGAGGTTGAAGAAAGGAAATTTGGAACAAAGAAGCCAAGTGCTCTGGAGAAGGAGGTGAAACTTCCACCGTCGAACAAAATCAGAATGGGAGCAGCCATGGTTAATAAGGTTGTGGAAGTTTAGACCTTCCAGTTCACTTCACCTTTTAACTATCTGATTTTTCAACTTTTGTTTTACAAACCCCACTGTCCATATAAAGAAGCAGGGAGTCAGAGATGGATCCTGAAAGGGAAGAGGGAGAAAGGAATGCATGAAGAGAGGTGGAAATAGATGGATGACAAAGACAGAGAAGACTAAGAGAGACCAAATGATTAATAATTAATCTGTGCTTCCTTCCTTCCTTTTTCTTTCTTTCCTTCCCTCTTTTCTTTCTTTCTTTCTTTTTCTTTCTTTTTTCTTTCTTTTTCTTTTTTCCTTCCTTCTTTCCTCCCCTTTCCTTCCCTTCCTTCCCTTCCCTTCCCCTTCTTCCTTCCTTCCTTCCTTCCTTCTTTCTTTCTTTCCTTCCTTTCTCTCTTTCTTTCCTTTTTCTTTTTGAGACAGAGTTTCTCTCTGTTGCCCTGGCTGGAGTGTAGTGGTGCCATCATGGCTCACTGCAGCTTCCGCCTCCTGGACTCAAGCAGTCCTCCCACTGCAGCCTTCTGAGTAGCTGGCACCACAGGCATGCACCACCACACCTGGCTAATTTTTATTTTTTGTAGAGATGAGGTCTTGCTATGTTGCCCAGGCTGGTCTCAACTCCTGGGCTCAAAGGATCCTCCTGCCTCGGCCTCCCAAAGTGCTGGGATTACAGGCATGAGCCACCATGTCTGGCCCACTTTTCTTTTTATAGGACTTCATTAGATGAGTTGAAGAACAGGTAATTTGGGTTGATAATTTGAGAATAAAATGATTTAATTTACCAAGTTTTTCTACTATAAATTCTCAATTTTAAAATAAAAGGATACCTTATTTTGCAAAAGAAAAGAAATGTGAAGCTATACCTATAATAGAAATATGTAAAAATAAAATTGACATTCATGTTTTCACTATTTACAAAGCTTAGCTACATGCCAATTTTATTTGATTATTTGTGAGGTGACACATATGAGGCAGCTGAGAGTAAATGAGGACCATGTGGTAAAATGATTGTTGAAGGCATTCAGCCTGCTGGACTCCTTTACCCACTCCCCACCTGTGCCAGTTCCCACGTGGAAATGTTAGTAAGTCTGAGAGAAAGAAAAGGGCATCTTTCTTAATATCTATAGAGTATATAATTGATGGAATCATTTACCCCAAGCGCTACTACAGGAGACATCCGAAAAGCTTCAAAAGTTGTTCAGGGAAATTTGAGAATGATACTTCACAAATTTTTAATAATAAAAAATTATCCATTGATGGAAACCTCACTAATTTTTGAGGCAATCATGATGGAATGACATAGAGACCTCCAGGCTATAGTCACTGAATACAATATAAACAGAATAGCATCCTTAGTGAACGCCAACAGCATAGATAACAAAAAGAGTAGGTTGGGACTCTGGTTTCCTGAAGGAGGAACAGCCATAATTTTTAAATCTCTTAATACTGAAGGGACCCTTAGGAAATCTCTACAATTTCTCTGCAAATCGCTTTCTCTCTTTTGCTTCAATTTCCTCTCTTCCAGCTCCAGAGAACATCCCTCACTCATACACTCACCCACAATGTCTTCACCTCCACAGGGGCTCATCACGGTGGTCAGGGCAAGGGCCCCCAGCATCAGAGCTTTGTTTAGGATCATCCTCTTCCCAAGGCAGCCTTAGCAGTTGCTGTTCTGAGTTGTAGAGCAATTGTGAGGACCTCGAGACAAGGCAATCTGAAGACACCCAAACCAAACCCTGCCAAGTCAGGTTTTGGCTAATTAGAAAAATCCCCTATGATGACACCTCAGTTACTAGTTGAAGAGTTTGTATTAAGAGCCCTGGAAGGAGACAGGGCAATCCCCTTGTTGTGATGCAGCCTCCACTCAGAGTGGACTTGAGGAAATGTTCTGTGAATAGAGGGAGGACACGAAATCGGAATCTTCTCTGGTGTGTGCATGTCTGCCAGTGGCAAGAGGGGTGGGCATTTCTTTTCTTTTTTTCTTTCTTTCTTTTTTTTTTTTTTTGAGATGTAGTCTCACTCTGTCACCCAGGCTGAGGTGCAATGGCATGGTCTCGGCTCACTGCAAACTTTGACTCCCGGGTTCAAGTGATTCTCCTGTCTCACCCTCCCAAGTAGCTGGGATTACAGGCACCTGCCACCACGCCCGGCTAATTTTTGTATTTTTAGTAGAGACAGAGTTTCACTATGTTGGCCAGGCTGGTCTCGAACTCCTGAATTCGTGATCTGCCCATCTCAGCCTCCCAAAGTGCTCAGATTACAGGCATGAGCCACCGCCCTGGCCAGGGGTGGGCATTTCTGAGCAGCCTCGTGGATAGATGACATCATCAATTATACGGCATCCTTCAGGATTTTCTGAGTTACAACCTCCAGGAATTTTTCCCTGAGTCGATTTCCCTCCCTGGCAGTCCCCATCCCCTCCCCTTTCTCTGGCTTCTGTATGTGGGTTAGTTGCTTTTTCTTTTTGCTTCCATAGTGCATATGGAATTCTCCAAATGTTAAGTTGACCCCACCTACCTAGGGATCTCTGCTGGTGGTAGCCGATCAACACCTTTGCCTTTTCTACTTGTATAAATCCAGTTTGGTAAGTTATTCTCAAGCTCTCAAAAGATCCAGGTGGTTTTGGCCACGGCAATAAAAAAAGGTTATAATGCCAGATGGTGCTGTCTACAGTAACTGTATGAGATTTTATACAGTTTTTCTTTACATTGAGTAATCTTTACGTTCTGTGTTTTGGTGCTTCTTGCATATGTTTAAAGGAAATTTAGGGACATTGATTACATTTAAAATTTGGCTGGCTCAATTACTCTAAGAATTTTTTTTTTTAATTAAGAATGTCAAGTCAAAAGTTGAGGGTAGAATAAGAATTGCACTGACTTAGAAAAATGGTTTTCTTTTCTTAAACTACCAGATCTTTTAAAATTTGTTATCCTACCACACTAAAATTCCAAATATTTGCAAGGGACTAGGGATTGAGCTAAAGTTAGTCATTAGAACAAAACTTATTATTTTTTTCAGATACATCTACTTTCTGTATATGATAGAAACCGTAAGTTAATGGAAGATCTATTTAGAATCACTCTGTCCTTGATAAATGGCCTTCTGAGATTCTCAACACTGTTTTACCTCCCACTGGCAGAGACTGTAAAAAAAAAAAAAAGGTGAAACAAAAAAAATGTCCTGACCCCTGAGAGCTGCCTGGTTGCAATTAACAAGGCCTTGGGGTTGCTAGGAGCTAGGCTGGCACTCCCAGGTGGTTTTGGTTCTCCTATTGAAGATAAAGGATTTCACAGAACATCAGAATCAGACAAGTACTCTGTGAGCACAGTGGATTCTGTGAGCACAGTGGATTGAGACAGAATACCAGAATGCTCAGTCATCATGTCTGAACCCAGACAAAACATGAATATTGTCCAAACCACAAAAATGACCAGGTATGTCTCTCTCGGGAGTGATTACTGCTTCTTTACCATCACATCTGTAGCCTCAGGATAGTCTTCTGTCCCTCTAGGTAGGATTTATGAAGCTACCCAATCATAACATTGCCACCCCAACCCTCCACTTTCTGTCAGAATCCAACTAAAAGCAAAATCTCTCATTCTTAAATCCTCCCCAAAATCACCTAAAACAAGCACAAACCTTACAATTGATTTATGGTCAATTTTATGTGTCAGCTAGACTGTGATCCCCAGTTATCAAATCAAACACTAATAATCTAGGTGTTGCTGTGAAGATATTTTGTAGATGTCATTGAAATTCATAATCAGTTGACTTTAAGAATTTATCCTAGAAAAACTGGGTGAGCTTAATCTAAGCTGTTGAAAAGCCTTAAGAGCAGAGCTGAGGTTTCTCTGAGGAAAAAGAAATTCCACTCTGGACAGCGTGTCAGCCTGTGCTGAGAGTTCCAGCCTGCCCTTCCTGACAACTACCACCCAGTGGATCTCTGATTTGCCTAGCCCACCCCTACAGATGCAAAAATTAATTCGTTGCATCATTCTCTTAATATATGTATTCTCCTGGTTCTACTTATTCGGTTCCAACAATCTCTTACTGCATGATTCTCATGGTGAGTTTTATCCATCATTGCAATGAATAATAAAGTCAACTTGTTCATTGCTTGGATGCTCCTGCTGGTCTTTGGCTGGAGGCATTGAGGTACCTCATTAGGCAGTTGTGAGGAATATACATATACTGTACTTGGAATGAAAAATTCCTGGACTCTTTACATATACTTGTCATATTTTAATATCATTCTCATTTTCCAAGGAGGACATTAAATCCCAGAGAGTTGAAGGACTTTTCCCAGGGTCACACAGCTGGTAAGCAGCACAGATGTGATGCTATGGGGCAAGCCATGAGTCCTTGTGAGGAGTGATGGGTGAGAGTCTCCTTCTGTGCGAATTCAGAATCCAGTGCCTTAACATGATTAGGAGAGATATTTGACCCTATAGGTGGCTTTATTCTTTCTAGCTCCTGCCATTGTGAATGAAGAGGGTTTTTGAGGTCCCATTTGAGATGTGCTCCCTTTACCACTCAATATCCTTTTTGCTGTGTAGCAAATAACATGTTTTTATTTTTTTTCCTGTATCCAGACTTACCTGCTTTGTATCTAATGGAAATTCCTTAGGACTTTGGCAAATGAACAAAATGTTTTGGGATGGTAGTCCAGAATTTCACCTATTAAAATTACAGTTTAAATAACTCAACTCCAGTTAAGAAGTTAGGGTGTTAAATGTAGGATTAGAATTGCATCTTGGATGGGAAGTTGAGGGTGCAGTTTCAGATCTCACATCCTGTGGGGTGAAGGGAAAGTCCAAGGCAAAGTCATTGAAGAGATTATAGATGCACTTCTTTTCTTTTCTTTTTTTTTTTTTGAGACAGAGTCTTGCTCTGTCGCCCAGGCTGGAGGGCAGTGGCGCGATCTCGGCTCACTGCAAGTAGCTGGGACTACAAGCACCTGCCACCACGCCTGGCTAATTTTTTGTATTTTTAGTAGAGACAGGGTTTCACCGTGTTAGCCAGGATGGTCTCGACCTCCTGACCACATGATCCGCCCGCCTCGGCCTCCCAAAGTGCTGGAATTACAGGCGTGAGGCCACGCCTGGCCCAACAGATGACATTTCTACCTTTAACCTAGTTTTGTCTCTTCTCCTCTTCCTGCTTCATCCGGCCATAACACAGTGAACATTGTTCCAGTTCCTTCTGTCTTCAGGTCATAATTTTAATGTAAGGTAAAGTAATAAGTAAATGAAACTCAGAAGAACAGTATGCCATTTTAACAAAAGCTAATTTGTTACCTTTGTCTAGTAGAAAGAGAAAAGGTTCTCTTCATAAATTAATAGTGGGAATAAAATTTGGAGTTCAAAATAGTACTTTGTCCAACAATTTTCTCAGAAAGCACTTATTGACATGCCATTGATTCCATAACTAAAATAGCAATGGGATGTGCCATTATAATTCACATCATTAAGAGCCCTCTAAGAAATTAGGTAGAATTTATGTTAGTTCTAATAAACAGTTATAACGTTCTCTAAGACTCTGTATATTTTCAAATTATTTTAGTCTGACTTTATGCACTGGTAAAGTTTTACTCTGAAGGCCAAGACTTCTGTCTTGCAGTGGTTAAAGGTGCTTCACAACAATAACAGAGTCTAGAGTAGCACAGTGAAAAGAATATAGGTTTTGTAATAAGATAAATATGTATTCCATGCTGCTTTTGATTTTATCAGCTGCAGCACCTTGAGCAAGTCACTCAAAATACCTGAGTCTTAAGGTTATTTTCTATAAAACAGAAGGAAAATTATTAGGTGATAGTTAATATGGTAAAATGAAATGATAGATAAGTGCAATTATAAAGTTAAATACAATCTGGTGTCTGACATACAGCATCTATTCCCAAGTGGTAGCTGCTACATAAAGACAAATATTAATAATGATAATGATAATAACATCATGCTTTGGGCTGGGAAAGCCTGTCAATTTTTCCTCATTCATTTAACCTTCTCCCCGTAGCACTCCAGGCATGTGGGAGCCTGTGAGCCACAGAAGCACTAAGACATTGCTGAAAAACACAATTTTTTTGAAGGCTGTTTTATCTGTCAGATTTTCTATGTAACAAAGTATTCCAAAATTTAATGACTTCAAATAATGGTTTAGTATCTCCTTATGATTCTGTAAGACAGCAAATTGTGCTTAACCCACCTGAGTGGTCTTTATGTACTGGGCAGGTTCAGCTTTTCTCAGGTGGGCCCCCTCACATCTCTGTAGCATCAATAGGTTTGGCAGATATAGGGGGCCTGTCTCCATTCATGTGGACTCATTATCCAGCAGGGGGGCTGAGGCTTATCACAGGTGCTGGAAAGCTCTCCTGTGCAAGATAGAAACAGCAGGTGTCTTGAGCTGAACTTAAAACTCACGACATCACTTCCATTACATTCTATTATTCAAAGCAAGTCATAGTACTAGCTCACATCAAAAGGTGGGTTAATAGATTGCATTTCTTGACAGAATGGGCTACAAAGAATTTGTAGCTATTTTTGCAACTTATCATAAATATCCTCTGGCTTTTGGCAATATGTAAATGAATTTGGTGTGCGAGTGTTGGAGAGCCCCCATATTTGAAATAAATTCCACACACTCACCTACCAGTCAAGATCTTGTCTTTACTAATCTGCACTAAAAACACAGTGAAGCTTTCTCAAGGGAGACTTGAACTAAGAACTGTTGAATTCCAGTATGAATAAGGTGCTACAATTTATTCTTATAAAAAACTTTATGGAGTTTTACAAATGAAAATACAGAATTGTGAAGAATTGTAAGTAATCTCTTATGACTGCCAAGCTCATATTCTGATACAAAGTCCTGTATGCTGATATCCAGTCACGTGGTCTCTCACAATCATAAAATTAATGAAGCAGAGGAAACTTATAAAAACAATTGTTTGTTATTTAATATCATTTCCACCAATTCTTTGTCAGCAACAACTCCTATGTGTATGAACTAGTTGTTTTAAATAACTCACTTGAATAAACTGCACAATAAAAAATAATAGGAGGCCGGGCGCAGTGGCTCACACCTGTAATCCCAGCACTTTGGGAGGCCAAGGTGGGCAGATCACGAGGTCAGGAGATCGAGACCATCCTGGCTAACACGGTGAAACCCCATCTCTACCAAAAATATAAAAACAAAATTAGCCAGGCATGGTGGCAGACACCTGTAGTCCCAGCTACTCAGGAGGCTGAGGCAGGAGAATGGCATGAACCCAGGAGACAGAGCTTGCAGTGAGCCGAAATCGCGCCACTGCACTCCAGCCTGGGCAACAGAGCGAGACTTCGTCTTAAAATAATAATAATAAAATGAGGAAAGATTGCTTTGTAATGGTCTTCTACTGAAAAACATGCAAAATTACCTCCATGTCCAGATCTACCTTCTCCATAGCTCCTGAGTATTCTACAGCTAAACCAAATAGGTTATTTCATGAAGACTTTGCAGATACTATGGTATGTAATCAATAACTACTTGTTGACTTAGACTGAAATTCTTAATCATCTGAATCAGTTTACAAAGCTGACTGTCTGGAGACTGATATTCCTCATGTCCAGTAGTGATTGATTCTCTTCCCAGGAACTCTCCAGTCCTAATGTGCATATTGTAAACATTCTTTGTATAGGTCTTTTTATTTACTTATTTATTTTTAGAGATGTGGTCTCACCGTGTTGCTCAGGCTGGCCTCAAACTCCCAGGCCCCACCTCAGTCTTCCAAGTAGCTGGGACTACAGGGGCACACCACCCCACCTGGCTATACAGATACCTTTCCTTAGCCTTAATTATTAAACTAATGACAAATAATTTTTAATAAAAACTTTAAAAGCAAGTGCTGCCCAAAGCAATTTATATATTCAATGCTATTCCTATTAAAAACTACCATTGAGATTCTTCACAGAACTAGAGAGAGCCTGAATAGCCAAGGCAATCCTAACCAAAAAGAACAAAGCTGGAGGCATCACACTACCCGACTTCAAAGTATACTACAGGGCTACAGTAACCAGAACAACGTGGTACTGGTACAAGAACAGACACATAGACCAGTGGAGCAGAATAGACAACCAGAAATAAGACCTCATACCTACAACTATCTGATCTTCAACAAGCCTGACAAAAACAAGCAATGGGGAAAGGATTTCCTATTCAATAAATGGTGCTGGGAGAACTGGCTAGCCATATGCAGAAGGTTGAAACTGCAACCCTTCCTTACACCATATACAAAAATTAACTTAAGATGGATTAAAGACTTAAATGTAAAACCCAAAACTATAAAAACCCTGGAAGACAACCTAGGCAATACTACTCAGGACATAGACATGGGCAAAGATTTCATGAGGAAGATGCTAAAAGTAATTGCAACAAGGGCAAAAATTGACAAATGGGATCTAATTAAACTAAAGAGCACAGCAAAAGAAACTATCAGCAGAGTGAACAGACAACATACAGAATGGGAGAAAAGTTTTGTAAACTATGCATCCAACAAAGGTCTAATATCCAGCATCTATAAGAAACTTAAATGTACAAGAAAAAAATGAACAACTCCATAAAAAAGTGGGCAAAGGGCATGAATGGACACTTCTCAAAAGAAGACATACATGTAGCCAACAATCATATGAAAAACAGCTCAACATCACTGATCATTAGAGAAATGCAAATCAAGACCACAATGAGATACCATCTCACACCAGTCAGAATGGCTATTATTAAAAAGTCAAAAACTAACAGATGCTGGGAGGTTGTGGAGAAAAAGGAACGTTTATACACTGTTGGCAGGAGTGTAAATTAGTTCAACTATTATGGAAGACAGTGTGGCAATACCTCAAAACCCAAAGGCAGACATACCATTTGACCCAGCAATCCAATTACTGGTTATATACCCAAAGGAATGTAAATCGTTCTATTATAAAGACACGTGTACACGTATGCTCATTGCAGCACTATTCACAATAGCAAAGACATGGAATCAACCTAAATACCCATCAATGATAGACTGGATAAAAACAATTTGGTAATATACACCATGGAATACTATGCAGCCATAAAAAAGAATGAGATTGGACCGGGCGCAGTGGCTCACGCCTGTAATCCCAGCACTTCGGAAGGCCAAGGTGGGCAGATCATGAGGTCAGGAGATTAAGACCATCCTGGCTAACACAGTGAAACCCCGTCTCTACTAAAAATACAAAAAATTAGCTGGGTGTGGTGGCTACTTGGGAGGCTGAGGCAGGAGAATGGCGTGAACCCTGGAGGCGGAGCTTGCAGGGAGCAGAGATTGTGCCACTGCTCTCCAGCCTGGGCGACAGAGCCAGACTCTGTCTCAAAAAAAAAAAAAAAAAAGTAATGAGATCATGTTCTTTGCAGGGACGTGGATGGAGCTAGAGACCATTATCCTTAGCAGACTAATGCAGGAACAGAAAACCAAATACTGCATGTTCTCACTTATGAGTGGGAGCAAAATTATGATAATACATACATGGACACATAGAGGGGAACCACACACACTGGGACCTATTGAAGAGTGGAGGGTGGGAGGAGGGAGAGGATCAGGAAAAATTACTATTGGTTACTAAGCTTAATACCTGGGTGATGAAATAATCTATAAAACAAACCCCTATGACACATGTTTACCTTTGTAACAGACCTGAACATGTACCCTTGAACTTAAAATGAAAGTTTAAAAATCTCTAAAATGAGGTTTCTCAACCTGAGAACTATTAATATTTTGAGCCAGATGATAATTATTTTTTTGTGGGAGGCTGTCATGTGTGTTACAGGACTTTTAACAGCACCCCTGGCCTCTATCCAATACATGCCGGTAGCAGCCTCCCCATTAGTGACAACAAAAACTATCTCCAGACATTGTCAAATGCCACTTGAGGGGAAAGTTGCTCCCATTTAAGAATCATTGCTTTATGAGGTAACAGACTGTCTAAAATAAAAATAGTAGCAATGTATTGTGTGTTTACAGAATATGAGAAAGAAATTATATGACAACAATTGCACAGTGAATAAGAGAAATCTGGAGTATGCTAATCTAAGGTAGATTTGAAGATAGATTATACATATATGTAAAATTCTAGGGCAACAACTAATCCAAAAGAAAGCAAAAAAATGATTTTAGAAATAAATATTTCATCGAATTAATAGAAATATCTAGCAAAAATAATTCAACATATTAATAAGGATGTTAAATATAATTGGTCCAGACAGACCAATTAAATGATAGAGAAGAACAGATTGAATAAAAATGGAATATTGAACTATAACATATCAGCAACCCATTTTAAATATAACGACATACCTTCATTAAAAGTAAAAAGAAGGGAAATATATACTATGCAAAAGAAATCAAAAGAAAGTCAGAATGATTATGTCAATACTAGACAAAGTAGAAATTGGAGCCCGAAATGCTAATAGGGATAAAGACAGACATCACTTAATGATAAAGGGTTATTTCTCTAAAGAGACATAACAATCTTAAATGCATATGCACCTAACAACAGAGCTTCAAAATACAGGAGACAAAGTTGACATAAAAGGAAGGAGAAATAGAAAAATCCAAAATTATCATTGGAGATTTTATACTCATTTCTTAGTATTCATAGAAAAATTAAGCAGAAAGTCAATAAGGATATAGAATAACTGAACAGTGCTAACAAGTAACTTGACTAAGCTGTAAGTTACATTTACAGAACACTCCACCCAACAACAGGAAAATACATAATTTGAAACTGTATTAATTCTATCTACTATATTTCTCTCTGTGAACACCA
Organism: Homo sapiens; assembly: GCF_000001405.40. NCBI lineage: Eukaryota > Metazoa > Chordata > Mammalia > Primates > Hominidae > Homo > Homo sapiens. The sequence continues at coordinate 4,046,339 of NT_113891.3, read as the reverse complement.
TGTTCTTCTCCACTTATTCATCTTCTCTTGTCTCAAAAAAGTTTTATAACACTTTCTCTGATGATTCTTTATATTCCTTGTTAAATACTTTTTATATTATTTTGCTCTTGTTAATGGATACTTTTTTCCTTCCTCCATCACTAAATATTTTTTCTTATGGTCTTCATGGCTTAGTCTGCCAGAGACAGATAATGCTGCTTCCCACAGGGTTCTGATTTGCTGAAGAGGAAAATATTTAATGTCTTATTTTGGTTTCACTTAAACCCAGCTTCTGCAAGGGCAAATTGTCACCAAAACCTGACTAGAAGGGAGTGAGGTTGTGGAGATTGGGGGTTGGGGTGAGGAATTGTAAATAACACATGATACATGGGTGTCCTTTCAGCGCTCTCTGTCTGGAAAATTAACTAACCAGAGAAGTGAAGGGTTCAACAATCAAGTTAAAGAACAGGTAGGCTGGGCATGGTGGCTGATGCCTGTAATCCCAGCACTTTGGGAGGCCAAGGTGGGTGGATCACCTGAGGTCAGGAGTTCAAGACCAGCCTGACCAACATGGTGAAACCCCATCTCTACTAAAAATACAAAATGAGCTGGGTGTGGTGGCACATGCCTGTAATCCCAGCTACTTGGGAGGCTGAGGCAGGAGTATCGCTTGAACCTGGGAGGTGGAGGTTGCAGTGAGCCGAGATCATGCCACTGCACTCCAGACTGGGCAACAAGAGTGAAACTCTGTTGCAAAAAAAAAGAAAGAAAGAAAGAAAAGAACAAGCATTACCCTGTGCTTTGTGCTTTGAGTCACTATCAAGTGACTTAACCCAAGGACGGCTCATGCCCACAGGTCTACAGGGAAAAAGTAGCAGCATCTTAATGTGTTTGCACTTGTGAAAAAGTAGAGGATGCTTCATTTCTTTAGTCTGTGCAGTCTCCAGTGAGTTTCAGGATGTGCCAGTTGAATCTTATGATCTAGGCACTGTTCACTAAATTGACAATGAACCTCCAAATCAACTACGAGTTTGGCTTACTGGTATGAACCTGATGTTTGCAGTTTAAAGTCTGCCAGAAATCCTGGGATGTGTAAATTTTGGGAAAAAATCAGAATTAAAGTGAAGGAATGGACCCGGTTGTTTCCCCAGATATGTGAGAATAGGTTAATTTCCTGGAGGTAGTTAAAATAAAACTAAAAGGACAAATTACCTGTTCCTCTCATATTCCTTCCCTCCTCCTTATTTCCACCCAATATAAAGAAAGCCAGGCCTCTTTTTGTTTTTGATTCTGAAACTTTCTCTTCAGATATACTGGATGTTCATCAGCCAGGCTGGTGAGAAAATGAAGACTAATTGCCATGTTACCTCCCAGTCATGATGATGATAATAATAATTGATAGTAAGATGATAGTGCCTGATATGTATTGAGTACTTACCACATGCCAGATGTTCTTCTAATTGCTTTTACCATACTTGTATTAACTGACTTAATTTTTAGAATGATACTATTAAGTAGGTGTATTATTATATCTCCCTCCCCCATTTTACCAATTAGGAAATGGAGAAGAACAGATTGAATAAAAATGGAATATTGAACTGTAAACTATCAGCAACCCATTTTAAATATAAAGACATACCTTCATTAAAAGTAAAAAGAATGGAAATATACACCATGCAAAGGAAATCAAAAGAAAGTCGAAATGAGTTGGATACTTGACTAAAGCTACACCACTAGTAAGAAATGGAGCCAGAATTCAAACCCAGGCAGTCTAACTTCAGAGTGACACACTAGAGAGAGGGCAATTGTGCTACACTGTAGCCCAGAAGGGGATTTATGCCACGACTCCTATCACAGACAAGGGACCATTTGTCAAGCCACAACTTTATTATTCTAAAGAAGTAATTGCATGTGGATCTGGCCACTTACACATCCAATTGTCTTCATCTAGAGGTGTTTCTCCAGGGCCAGCCCTGAGGTGGAAATCTGCATTAATGCAGCTGATTAAGCCCTCCTCTGTAGATGACTTATGGGCAGAAATGGGCCCTTCCTCTTCTCTTTGTTTCTCATACTTGACTGTGGCTCTGTACCCCCAGGAGATTGGTTCCAGGAACCCAGCTGATATCAAAATCTGTGGATGCTCAGCCTCTTCTATAAAATGCTGTAATAACCCATATCCACAGATTTAAATCCATGGTAGGTTGAATCCACAGATGTGGAACCTTGGATAGGGAAAGTTGACTGTATTTGATTTATGCACAGATAAACACTTTTGGTCAGGTCCAGTATAATTCATCTACAGGTGATTTAAAAAGTGAAGGCACTTTGAAGTCTTCCGGTCAGCTGAAGAATCTGAAATTTTATTGTCAGACTTACTTAGAAATCTTACAGATTCAAACATGTTATGGCTAATAAAACTTTGCAGCTTCATCAAAACGTAAAGAAATGTTCCTGAGCTTAGACCAGGCTACATGGCACTGAAGATTCAGGGCTTGCTCCCAACCCCAGAAGAGGAGGACCACAAATTTCCAGTCTGGGAGGGTCCCACAAAAACGTTGCTCTAAAACTACAGACTGGAGTTTTTTTCTGAATTTTTCCTTCTTCAGGGAAAAGAGTGTGAACCTGCGTAGTGCTCTTCTATCTCTGCTCACCTGAGTACCACAGGGTTCATGGGTTTCAAGTTTAAGACATCAGATTTAGGGAGGATTCACATCTTTCTTCTTCTGTTTATTTGTGAGGTATGGTGAGGTCATTGTTTTACTTCCATGAGGACAGTGGATAAAAAGGAACCCTTTGGAGGGAAGGGAGAGGTAGAGATGGGTAAAGTTATGTAAAAGGATTGAAAAGTAGACCTGAGAGCTCAACTGGGAACAGAAACCTTGTGGCTATGATCCCAGGGGACCATGAAGACCTGCAGAAGAGGAAAAAAGACACTACAGGGACAGTATAGGCAAAGTTCTACACAATGTCCACATTAAAATGTTCCATACAAATTTCCCTGAACAGAGATTTTTCAAGGCCACTCACCTTAGACCTGCAGGCCCTATTAAGACTGTTGGGAGGAGAAAAATGTAGTGGTTCTTCTATCATCTAATCATAGTCTTCTGAGTGTCATTAAGATCCTTCCTGTTTTTATAAATATAAATATCACAGTATAGATGCATTTACAGAATTGTAGTATTAGTCTTTGTAGTTTTTTGTTTTTTACTTAATCTGTGGATAATTTCCCACAGATTAGACAATTTTCTACATCACTAAACAGTTTCATAAAATCTTATTTTTAGTGGCTGTAAAAACTTCACCATATACTTGAAAGAGTATTTATTTAAACATTTTTAAAAAAAAACTTGGGGACACTTAAGGAGATTAATTGAAAGATTATATGCAGAACAGCTAACCCCACCTCTCTTCCACTCTGACCTCTGCCACATAGGTGGCTGGCATCTATCCCTCAAACAAAATACATGAAGTTTCCTCTCAGAAGAAATTGAATGGGCCCAGAGAAAATAATTCCACGCTATGGCCTTCATGGTCCCCCAGTGAAGGAATCAGACCCTGAAACATTAGCCCCAAATTCCATCTGATTTCTTCAAACTCATGACCATTTTTTAGTCGCTCTTACATGTAAAATAATATGAAGAAACAGAAAACATTTTAAGAGCGCAATAAGGATAAACAAAAAGAAAAACTTAAAACAGATAGATTAGAAATTCAAGACAGCTTTAAATATATACACAAAACACAGCCAAACAAAATTTTAATTATTATTTTCACAAACATTGAAGAATGTAGTCCCTTTGTAAAACAAATCAAATTGGTATTAATCTTTTCTCCATAGGTAAAACAACAAAAACACTTTGAAAATTAACAATATAGCCATAATATTTATAAGACATTCTTTTTTAAATAACCCAAACACACATAAATAAAGATAAAGCATTTGCTATGCAAGCACATCTAGCTTCAAGACAAGCCACAGTCCCTACCCACCATGCAGAATTCTGGGCCTAAGCTCCTTCTGCATAGATTGATGTAGAAATCACCACCCTAGATGCAAAACAAGACCTGTCTAAAACCAGATTGTGGTTGCTGAGGAGGAAGTGGGAATGGGGAGTGACTGCTTAATGGATACAAGGTCTCCTTTGGAGGTGATGAAAATGTTATGGAACTACATAGAAGTGATGGTTGTACAACATGGGTGAATGCACTAAATGCTACTGAGTTGTGCACCTTAAAATGGGTTAATTTTGTTATATGAATTTTACCTCAACAAACAAAAAGACTGCCTAACTCAGGCCCATGCCTTTATATAATATGCTATATAATACACTCTACTACTCTTTAAAAAATCAACAATACAGGACAGTATACTTATCCTAGACTTTCAGAACATTTATTATTTTTTAAAATCTCATTATTTTGAATAAAAATAGTTTTAAATCTATAGATTATATCTCCATCCAACTTCATGATTCATTTATAGTTTGTTTTCTTTTCAGTAAAGTACATTTTTTACTTTCTGTTGAGTCTATGTATTTCTTACAAAACTTATTCTTTGATATTTTCTATTATTCCTAATGCTAATGAAGCTCCCCCTGCCACCAACCTTGGGTATGCCTTCTTGACAGTTTAGTCTGCCAGAGACAAATGATGCTGACTTCTCTACTTTGCCTTATTAGATAAAAAGAAAAGTATGTAATGATAATATCAAGGTTTCATGTTAATGTGGTTTATGCAAAGATTTATGTCATCATCCTTCCCCTTCAACCACAACCCTATTCTAATAACCACATCCTGTGACCAAATAGCTCTTCTTTTCCTACAAGCATCACACTTATTATTAGTTACTCTGAGGTTCTCAATGTGAATTTTAGATAGTGACATATCCTTTGGCCAACACTTGAACAATCTTCACACAAGATGTGAAGAACATGACAACAAACTGTAACTAAGGGTATCGAAGAACATAGTTAAGGACTCCTGGCTGTGATGGCCGTTTTCAGTAAGACATTATTCTACAGGACACTTTCTGGAGTATGAATTCAACATATTAGAAACTACATTGTGGAGGTTTCCCCTGAAGAAAAAAAAGTAGTTGGGAAACCCGTGACAATAAGGATCTGAAATTAATGTGGTATGAAAGTGAGGGTAGGTGCACAGCTCTGGGCCAGCCACACAGAGTTAGGGCCACTGTCTCAACATCTGAAAGAGACTGGGCTTGAACAGTGATGACTACATTAACCAGGGGCCTGGATCTGCATTGCTCACACTTGAGCAGAGATTGGAATCCAGCTGACTGTGAATGAGTGTGGAAGAGCCTCCTGCTGGAGGCAAATGACTGGAGCCCTGTGCATATGCTGGGCCATAAGGAAGAGCACAAGCATATTCTCTGGAACAGGGCTCTTCAGGGCCTGGGCTAAGTCAGCCAGCGCCCTCCTCCTCCTCACCCCACCCATTGGTAAATCTGATAAATCAGTGCTAATTTGCTTTGTATGATAGAATTTACTAAATGTGATGGCTGATATTTTGAGCCAGGGTGGCAAATGCAGCTACTGACTCAAGAGCAATGTGTAGTAATAACTTGGGTATGAGAATAGGATTGTGAATTGGTATGCAACTTTACCAGTGACAGATGTGTATCACTACCCATTGGCATATAGGTTCTAGTCTAGTGCTGAGAAAGATACACAAAATATTAAGATTTTTACAGCAAGATTGGTACCACAAAATGCTCATTTTTAGCTCTTATGGATTTTCTGTCTTGTAGTTTATTGTATATTTCTCACTCTTGCTGAGGCATCACCAAATCAACTTGTAAATTCTGTAATCACTTTCTTTCAGTAGATTTCTTATATCTAAATTTTAATTAAGACTAAGAATTCTTTTTGACACTTGGACACTGAAAGGAAGCATCTCTCAATTGCCTCCTTTACTCATGCATCTTCTTATCAGCTGGGGAGTCTGGGGGTCATAAGACTGAAGTAGTAGGTGAGGCTCAGACATCAGATCAAATTGAGAATTAACTAAAACAGGGATGGGGCAGAAGCACCTCTCCATAAGACATGCCTACCAGTGTGCCATGTCAGTTTACCATTGCCATGGCAACACCCAGAGGTTACCACTTCTTTCCATGGCAATAATGACCCACTGGGGTCATTGAAGTGGTAATTGGAGTTACCATCTATAAATTAAGGGGTGGATTATGCAGAAATTTCTACCCTATTTCTAGAAACTTCTGCATAGTCCACCTCTTAATTTGCATATAATTAAAAGTGGGTATAAATATGACTGCAGAACTGCCTCTGAGCTACTATTCTGGGCACACTGCCTATAGGGTAACCCTGCTCTTCAAGGAGTAGCTTAGTTCCATAAAAGTTGCTGTCTAACACCACTGTCTCATCCTTGGAATCTTTCCCGAGTGAAGCCAAGAACACTCTCGGGTGAAGCCCCAGTTTTGAGGCTTGCTGGCCCTGCATCAAGACCACCCTTGCAATGGATAAATTTATCGCTAGTTATCTCAGTACTGAGGGCTTCTTAATGTGGGAGTCCTCACTTTGGGGAAAATGAAGAATTTGACTGGTTTCGGGGGGTTGGTCAAGGGAGATCTGCTGCAGTCTATGAAGTGATTCTGTGAAAGACAATGATATCTTACTCCACTTTGAGCATTTGATCTGAATGCCCCCTTCACATTAAGCCTCTGTGGATCCATAACCAAGGGTGCAGGAATTTTGCTTCTGAGAACCTTTTCCATGATAGAATTCTGGTTATTTCTTTTCTTTCTGTTTGCTATTATGACCTACACCTCTGTTAACATCCCTGTGCATGCTTCCTTGTCCAAATACCTAATGTTTCTTTAGAACAAATGCCTAAGACTAGAAGTTCTATGCACTATATTTGTGTTTACAACTTTACTATAACTAGCTGTATAAATTTCAACCCCCACTAGAAGTGTTTAATTGTTCACACTAATGAATTTTCTTGCCAATAAATTATTGTCAGACTTCATTTTGCCCATCTCTTGAGAATTAAATGATACTTCGTAGTGATTTGAAATGTGTTTATCTGATTACTAATAAGCGTGGAAATCTTTTCACATTATGTATTGACCTGCTATGCTTCCTTTTCATAAGCTAGCTCTCATCCCTGGAGTGGCACTGAATTTCTTATTATTTTTATAAATATAAAAATGTCATATGTATAGATAGATATAAGCTTATAAGACTTAAATTTTAGTTTTTACAGCTTAATTTTCCTATATTATATGTATTAAAAATAACTTTTTCCAGTTTGTGTCATATTTTTAAAGTGTATTTTGATTAAGTTTTTAAAAATATGTATTAAAGTATATTTATTAAAAATTAAAAATTTTTTTTGCTATTTCATCCCTGTTAAGAAATACTTCCCTACTTCAGTTCATAAAATAATCTTCTAAATTTTCTATTTTAAAAATTTAAAAATTACCTTTCCTTTGGCTAAATAGTCAGTAATGGGATTGCTGGATGATATGACAGCTCTATTTTTAGTTTTTTGAGAAACCTCCATACAGTTTTCCATAATGGCTGTACTAATTTACATTTCTACTAATGGTGTATAAAAGTTCCCTTTTACCCTCCTCCTTACCAGCAATTTTTTTTTTTTTGCCTTTTTGATAGTAGGCATTCCAACTGGGATAAGGTGATAGTTCACTGTGGTTCCTGTTCACATTTGATTAGCCTGAATTGAATTGATTTTTGTGGATACTATGTTGTATGAATCCAACACTGAGTTTTCCGTCTGGATAACAAATTCTCTCAGGATGACTTACTGCACTATTTCATAAGCGAATTCCAATGCCAACTCCAACATAAATATGATTTTACATATGAGTGAGTTGGTTCTGGGCCTGCTGTTTCTGTTCGTTTGTCTATAGGTCTATCCATGCATCAGTACAACTCTCCTATTTATACTTAAGTCTGATAATAAATTGAGGACTAGCTGGGCAAAATCTTACCAACCTGTTTCTTTCTATGTATAACTAGTAAAGAAACCAAACTGTTTATTTGCATGTGTAACTAACTTATAGGCTAGTCTTAAACAATTGCTCTTCTATAATTATTTACAATCAGCATAGTGATTCCACAATATTATGTTGGGATTTTAAGTAGAACTGCATTGGTTCTGTAGATTAACTCAGAGAAAAATTGTGTTTATATTTTGGATATTTTATTTGTGAATATAGCATATCTTTCCATTTACATAGGTATCTCTAATGTCTTTTTTTTTTTTTTTTGACAGAATCTCACACTGCCTGGAGGCTGGAGTACAGTGGCACGATCTGGACTCACTGCAACCTCCAACTCCCAGGTTCCAGCAAGTCTTGTGTCTCACTCACCTGAGTAGCTGGGATTACAGGCTCACACCATCATGCCCAGCTAATTTTTGTAATTTTAGTAGAGACAAGGTCTCACTATGTTGGCCAGGCTGGTCTTGAACTCCTGGCCTCAAGTGATCCACCGCCTTGGCCTCCCGAAGTGCTGGGATTACAGGCATAAGCCACCATGCCCAGTCTCTAATGTCTTTTAATGAAGTGTTAAATTACATTAAACTACCTAAAATTACCAACAATCATCTGTTTTTGATCAAAAAGAATTTTGATCAATTTCATTTAGTTCAGTGTAAAACCCTGATGTAACAGATCTCTATAACTTGTTAGATTTATAGATAGTATACCTAACTTTAATTTTAATGTTGTTCAATTATTTATTCATATAAGACTTGCTTAACATATTGTGTAGGTTAAAATGTTGAGATTCAGAGAGACCATTAAAATTGCCCAAAGTCAGACATCCAGGATATAGCAGAGTAAAATTTAAACTAAGTTCTGCCTAATTCCAAAGCCCTGGTACCCTTCTTTTGCAACCATTTATATTACGTGATAAGTTGACTTATCTACATGTGATTGAGCTTATCGACAAACGGGCGAGGAAGTATACATTTGCATCTTGACTGAAGACAATGCTAGTCTTGGCCAGACAAGAATTAAGAGGCAGTCTCTATCATTAGAGAATTCCAGCTTCTAAATTTCCAGATGCAATTCCTTGTGTTTGAATTAATCTCTAGAAATTTGTACCTGAAAAAGCACACATGAGAATGAGGTAATATAGGAAGCAGTGGTTATTTTTGTTTGTTCGTTTGTTTGTTTTTTGAGATGGAGTCTTGCTCTGTCACCCAGGCTGGAGTGCAGTGGCGCGATCTCGGCTCACTGCAAGCTCCACCTCCCAGGTTCATGCCATTATCCTGCCTCAGCCTCCCGAGTAGCTGGGACTGCAGGCGCCCGCCACCACGCCTGGCTAATTTTTTGTATGTTTAGTAAAGACAGGGTTTCACTGTGTTAGCCAGGATGGTCTCAATCTCCTGACATTATGATCCACCCACCTCGGCCTTCCAAAGTACTGGGATTACAGTTGTGAGCCACCACGCCTGGCCAGTTATTGTTTTTATATAATTCATTTGTTAGTTGTAACTTAGGACTGAAGAAGAGCGAGACCAGGAACAAATAAATGTGTTGGAGGTAAGTGTAATATGAAAACACTAGAGAATGTAGGGTCAGTGTAGAGTTGTAGAGAAACGCCCCTCTGTGTTGAATTCAACTCAATTTGTTTAAAGACACAAGAAATATTTTTTGAATCAAGGCCATTTTCTAGGCATGGTGGGAGATGCAGACTTGTGGAAAACAGGCTTAAACTTAAGGGGCTTATGGTCTAATGGAACACAAAAGAAGCACCTATTTATAATGCTAAGTAGTAGGTGGTTTCTTAGAAAAAAAATAATGTACATTTGGAGAATAATGCGTACTTTCAAGGGAAATGTTACAATTAAATATACTTTGAAAATGTCTTTGGATTTTAAAAGGCAGAGATGATGAGGAAGAAGCATGGCATAGACCTACCAAAATCTTTTTTTGAAATATAGTTTAAACTTTATTCTACATTTCTTTCTTCTGCTAGGTCAAACCTATGGTTAAGCCTCTCTAGTGAATTTTTATTTCAATTATTGTACTTTTCAACTCCATAATTTCTATTTGGTTCCTTTTTATTATACTATTGTCTAAATATTTGTGTCCCCTGCCCCCAGATTTATATTTTGAAGCTCAATTCCCATTTTCTAGTGTGTGGTATTAAGAGGTGGGGTCTTTGGGAGGTGATTAGGTTATGAGGGTAGAGTCCTCATTAATGGAATTAGTACTCTTGTAAAAGAAGGTGAGGGAGCTTATTCACCACTTCCACTGTATGAAAACAGAAAAATGATGAGTTCATGCCCTTTGTAGGGACATGGATGAAGCTGGAAACCATCATTCTCAGCAAACTATCGCAAGCACAAAAAACCAAACACCGCATGTTGTCACTCATAGGTGGGAATTGAACAATGAGAACACATGGACACAGGAAGGGGAACATCACACACAGGGGACTGTTGTGGGGTGGGGTGAGGGGGGAGGGATAGCATTTGGAGATATACCTAATGTTAAATGACGAGTTACTGGGTGCAGCACACCAACACGGCATATGTATACATATGTAACTAACCTGCACATTGTGCATACGTACCCTAAAACTTAAAGTATAATAATAAAAAAAAAAAAAAAGGAAAACACAGGTGGAAGGCACTGTCTGGGAAACAGACAGTAAGCCCTTGCCAAACACTGAATCTGTTTGTTCTTCGATCTTGGATTTCCTAGCCTCCAGAACTGAGAGGAATACATTTCTGTTGTTTATAAATTACCTAGTCTAAGGCATTTTGTTATAGCAGCTGAATGGACTAAGACAACTACTATCGCTGTTGTTGTAATGCCAAAGGTTCTTGCCTTAGCCACGCCAAAGAATTGGTGTGGCGGCTGCCTGCCGCGAGTGATAGAGACACGGACCAATAGAGAGAAAAAGCTGTAGGCTTTATTGAGCAGAGTGAAAGTACAAAGCTTCCACAGTGTGGAAGGGGTCTCGAACGGGTAGCCACTGCTGGTTTTGGGTAATTGCCTTTTAAACTCTTTAAGGGGGGAAATACATGCGGTGGGAAGATGTTACCAGAGTGAGAAACAAAGGCAGTAAATTATTTTGTTCCATGTCTTAGATCTTGAGGAAAACCGGAATTGCAACCTAGGTTTTATTTACTTTATGACCTTGTAGAGGCATAGCAAAAGAGACAGGATCTTACCAGGACTTTATAAAGTATGTTCACAAGGAACTGGAATTGGGAAGTTAGATAAGGTTTGCTGGTCACAGAAAAACGGACAGTTAACATTCCTTTCATCTTTAGTTTTGGGGAGGGGAAAGGGAGAGAGGGAGAGAAAGACACAGGGAAACTTACAGCAAAATTTTCGCTGTTTATAGCTTTCTTGGGGAAGAAAACACATATACAAATCCGGGTGTTAGGAATATTGTAAGTATATAGCTTCAGTGTTATTCATCCAGGACTGAAGTAAGTCCTGATGCAGGAAATGAGTGAGTTTCACAGCTTTCTGAGCCCCTACTCGACCCAGGAAGCCCAGCTGCACCTCCTCTTATTGTTATTCTCTCTGATGAAACATTGCCATCACACCTTCCTTCACTTCTTTAGCCATCCTTTCCTTTAGGTCTATGAATGTAATGGATAATGTTATGTGTCAACTTGGGTTGGCTGAGAGATGCCCAGATAGCTGGTAAAACATTGTTTCTGAGTGTGACTGTGAGGGTGTTTCCAGAATATTTTAGTATTTGAATCAGAAGACTGAATAAAGAAGATATCCCTCACTAATATGGGTGGGCATCATTCAGTCCATTGAGGACCCAAATGGAACAAAAAGGTGGAGGAAGGGTGAATTCTCTTTCTCTTTGAGCTGGGACATCTACTTCTACCCCTGGACACCAGAGCTCCTTCTTCCCCTCCTCCTGCCATGACTGCAGCCCATGTCCTGGTTCTCAGGCCTTTGGCCTCAGACTGGGAGTTGTACCATTGGCTCCCTTGATCCTCAACCCTTCTGACTCTCACTGAATTACACCACCTGCTTTCCTGGGTCTCCTACTTGCAGATGGCATATTGTGGCACTTCTTGGCATCCATAATTGAGCGAGTCAATCATCATACATATCTTTTTGTCTCTGTTTCTCTGGAGAATCCTGATGAAAATACTGAATATATTTAAACATATGTATAGTAGCTACTTTAAATATTTTTGTGTTAAATTTGTTCTCTCAAGCAATTTCTTCTGCCTTCTATTTTTCTGGTGTATTGGTCACACTTTTTTGTTTCTTTGCGTAGCTCATAATTTTTGTTGAAAAATGAACATTTTAGGAACTATATTATAGAAACTCTGGGTACTACCCCCACATTTTGCTTGTTATTCTTATTTGCTTGTTTGTTTATGTGATTAACAATGATTGTCTGGATTATTTTAATAAAGTCTGTCTTCATCTCCTCATCCCACAGTGTTAAGCTTTTGATGTTACCTCAAGGAGGCCCAGCTTTGAGTATATCCAGGGTTACCCTGGAATGACAGTGGTCCTGTAGGACTCTTTTTCATTCTTTCCCTCACCTACCCAGCCACTGAAGTCCATTAATTACCACTCTTTTCAATAATGCCCTGGGGCAAAATTCCTCTACAAAGTAATCGAATAAAATAGTGAGTCCTTCTATGAAATAGTTTCTGAGGTCAGTGTTTGATATTTGTTTTACTTTGGGAGGGCTCTTCCCACCTATTTTATTCTCTAGTTCTCTTCTGTAAACTAACCAGCCTACAGTCTAAGCTGTACCTGCATTAGATGCACAAATCTCCCAACTGCTTTTCACCACAACTCTACTGTAATTGAGAGTGCCCTTAGGTTTAAACTTCTCCATGCTCTGTTCCACATGAAGTTACTTCCTTTGGGAATACATTAGGATATCTATTCCATTTTATATAGAATAGATATAAAATATATTCTATGTTCCTAAAATATATTCCTAATATATTGCCTTTCCTCCCAGGCAAACTCTCTAAGTCAGGGCTCTGGAGCTGGGTGTAACTGTGGCAAGCTTCTCTCGGAGTGACTCCTCAATTCTAGGAGCTGAGCACTAAGTGGAGGGTGTGGCCAGCAGCCTGCTGTCCTATTGGTTTGCCTCTCCTGCAGTGGAGCCATTCCCTCATGAGCCAGGTAAAGGGTTATTAGGGCCCCAGTAGTCTTAGCATACCACACCCAAGGCAGACTCTCCATTCCACAAGTGGGAATTGGGCAGAAGAACGGTCCTCTCACTTCTCAACTGCACTTGTCTCGGACATAGTCTCAGCAACAGGTAGCTGGGGACAGGATGAGGGATTCTGAATTCCTGCCCTTCCTAGAAATAAAGCGCTCTGATATGGAGCTGTGGGGAGAGGGAGGCCTGTGCTCTGGGCTGTAGCAATCTAGAGTGGAGTCTATGCCTTACTGACCTCACTGAGCTGGCATGCAGGAGAGAGGGAGGGTATAGTCTTGGTTCAAATACCACAGACTCTTGCTTTTCTTGCCAATTTTCAGAGATTTTCTTGAACAGATGTCTCATTATTGCTGTTTGTCCTTAAGAAGCTTTTCAGAGGCTTTAATTTTTTAAAAATCAGTTGCATTGGAGAGTGGATCCCATAGTGATTATCTCACAATGAAGAAATGACAGATTAATTTGTCTCTATTAATTTTGTAGACTTCTAATCTTTCCTTATTGGGCAGGTGTTACTAGTATTATAAGAAAAGTAGTGTGTTAATTTTTATTTTTTTAAATAAAAAAGAATATGACTCACTGTACTTTTTCTTCACTTGGATTTTGGAAGTCTGTACCTGCTCCAACAACCAGTAGCCCCGCTGAAAGATAGCTGGGTATTGACACCAATGAGGCAGTGTTGCAGTTAAAATATTCTCTTGTACTTGAGAATTCACCCGAGAAAGTATTGACCAATCCCTACTTACATTGCATGTATATGGAGGTTTCCTTTTGGACCAAGACTTAACTCATAAAGTAGACCTCTTTTACATGAATACTGATATTTTTTTCCAACAATGAAAATGGCAGATCACTTGGTTATTCCTCTTCTCCCTTGACAGGAATTTCTATATTCTAGGGAGATCTATAGGACATCTCAATAAACCCTACTTAGGTCTATAGCTTCCTACATGAGGTGTGACACACTTTTCCAACTACTGCTTCATACAAAAGACAAGGAGTTTCAACTTTTTCACCCTTACTTAGGAATTGGCAAGCACAGAATATTAGGAAGTTGTGCACTGGAAGCACGGGGACCATGCCAGGCTTTCAGCAGAGTATCCACATGGAGTTACCAAGGGGGTGACAAATAATTGTAGCTATGTGGCCAGTTTTTCAGGAAGTGAGTTGGAAAGTTCATGAGTATATAATGATGAAAAACTAAGCTACAATGTTTCTTGCCTAATTTGTGAGACTTATATTTCTTAGTCAAAGAGTAAAGATCCCATTCCATAATTCTATGTTAAGTGCAAATGGTACTATCAATGTACTGGCTAATTGAATTTCACTAAGCATAATTACTCCCAAAATGGTTTCAACAAATAATGTTCTTGTCTTGCCTCTAAGGAGTACTTGAAAAAGAATCCACAAAGGACTGTTTTTATTAGTTAACATTGTTTAGTCATATTGGGGAATTATTTTTCTTTAGGATAATTAAAATATTTTATCTTTATTTTTGTTGAAATCAGTTTCAGATAATTATTTTCTCCTTTTTGTAATTACAGCTCACTTTTGAACAACACAGGTTTGAATTGCATGGGTCCTCTTATGGGTTGATTTTTAAAAATAAATATATTTGAAATTTTTTGGAGATATATGACAGTTTGCAAAAAAAACCCACAGATGAATCATGTAGCCTAGAAATATTGAAAACTTTCTTAAAGTTAGGTATGTCATGAACTCATAAAACATATGTAGATACTAGTATGTTTTTATAATTTACTACCATAAAATATGCACAAATCTGTTATAAAAAATTAAAACTTATGAAAAGTTATGCACTTACAGACCATACATAATGCCATTCACAGTGGAGAGACATGTAAACAAACATAAAGATACAGTATTGAGTCACAACTGCATTGAATAACTATAATACATAGGACATTACTGTGATAACTTCATAGCCACCTTCTGTTGCTGCTGTGGTAAGTCCGAGTGCTGCAAGTATGTGCATAAAATGCCTCCTGATGCTAATCATCATAAATTGTGTATTGCAGTAAAAAGTGATCTCTTATGGTTCTCGTATATTTTTCATGTTTAGCGTTATGTTGTAAACCTTGAATAACATCATGGGATCTATACAAAGTGCCACTAGTGATGCTGAAGTGCTCCCAAGGAGCAGAGAAAAGTCCTGGCATTACAGGAAAAAGTTGAATTCTTTGATATATACCATAGAGTGAGGTCTGCAGCTGCGGTTCTTCACAATTTTAGACACATGGTTTGTCTTGTAAACCAGCTCATGTAAACTTACAGTATCGATAAACACAGTACAGTACTGTAAATTTATTTTATTTTATTTATTATTTTCTTAATATTTCCTTTTTGCTAGCTCATTTTATTATAAGAATATAGTATATAATAAATATAACATACAAATATGTATGACTAGACTGTTTATGTTATTGGTAAAACCTCTGGTCAACAGTAGGCTATTGGTAGTCTTTAGGGAGTCAAAAGTTATATGAAGATTTTTGACTGTGTTGGGCATTGGTGTCCTTAACCCCCGCATTAAGTTGTTGACAAAAAGAGTCAAACTCTGTAAAATATTTGAAGAGATTTATTTTGAGCCAAATATGAGTGACCAGTGGCCTCTGGCACAGTTCTAGAAGATCCTGAGAACATGTGCCCAAGGTGGTTGGGCTACAGCTTGGTTTTATACATTTTAGGGAGACATAAGACATCAATCAATACATGTAAGATGTACATTGGTTTGGTCCAGAAAGGAGACAACTTGAAGTAGGGGCTTCCAGGTCACAGGTGGATTCAAAGATTTTCTGGTTGGCAATTGTTTGAGAATTTATCTAAAGATGTGGATTCAATAGAAAGAAGTGTCTAGGTTAAGATAAGAGGTTGTGGAGACTAAGGTTGTTATTTACCATGCAGATGAAGCCTCCAAGTAGCAGGCTTCAGACAGACTAGATTGTAAATGTTTCTTATCAAACTTAAAAAGGTGCCAGATTGGCCAGGCGTGGTGGCTTACGCCTGTAATCCCAACACTTTGGGAGGCCGAGGCAGTGGATCACCTGAGGTCAGGAGTTCAAGACCAGCCTGGCCAACAAGGTGAAACCCCATCTCTACTAAAAATACAAAATTAGCCGGGCATGGTGTTGAGCGCCTGTAATTCCAGCTACTAGGGAGGCTGAGGCAGGAGAATTGTTTAGAACACAGGAGGCAGCAGAGGTTGCAGTGAGCCGAGATTGAGCCACTGCACTCCAGCCTGGGTGACAGAGTGAGACTCTGTCGCAAAAAAAAAAAAAAAAAAGAAAAGAAAAAAAAAAGAAAGTGCCAGATGCTTAGATAATTCTCTCCTGGATCAAGGGAAAGACCTGGAAAGGAAAGAAGATTTTCTACAGAATGTAGATTTTCCCCACAAGAGACAGCTTTGCAGGGCCATTTCAAAATATGTCAAATAAATATATTTTGTGATAAAATACTTTGATTTCTTTCAGGGCATGCTATCTGTCACGTTGGTATCTTATTGCTACAAAGAGTCTGGTCAGTCTTAAGGTCTTTGTTCTAGTGTTAATGAGGGTCAGATGTGCCTTGATTCTAGAGGGAGGAAGGTATAGTGATGCAAGTCCAACCTCCCCTTCCCATTGTGACCTGAACTAGTGTTTCAAGATTACTTTAAAATGTCCTTGGCCAAGCAGAAGGGCCCATTTAGTTGGTTGAAGGGCTTAAATTTTATTTTTGGTTTACAGGGTGAACTGTATTTTCAGTTACTGAAATGACTAATGACAGTGAAATAAAAATGAAATGTTTTTTAGTATTTATCATGGTCCAGGAATGAGTTAAGTATTAACCTGAGAGATTATGCAATTCAACCCTTTAATTTTAGTGATGAAGAAACAGACACTCAAAAGAGAAAATTACT
This sequence comes from Homo sapiens, assembly GCF_000001405.40. Taxonomy (NCBI): domain Eukaryota; kingdom Metazoa; phylum Chordata; class Mammalia; order Primates; family Hominidae; genus Homo; species Homo sapiens. The sequence continues at coordinate 4,029,263 of NT_113891.3, read as the reverse complement.
TGACCAAGATGCGGGTTGGGTGCCAGAATTCTGACCTCATGACCATGAATACCGTGTTTTTATTCCCATTCTACTATGTAACTATATTCACTAACTGAGCCCCAAGGAGCTCTGATAAAGTAAAATATGACTTTTTATGAGAGGGGTATTGGAATTTTACTTTAGATACCCTGCTGATCTCAAATAAACTAATAATTTTAATTCCTGGGCTTTGAGTTTAGGCAGAACGGGATTTTAATCCTCATAATTATCTCTTAAATCACTACAATTTCTTAAAATCACTCTTTAAAATCACTAATTCTTAGTGATCTCTTAAAATTGCTAATTCTTAGTAACCTACTTATATATTTGTTAATTTTACAAATATCTATTGAGTGCTGGGAACTAAACATTCAGCAGTTAACAAAAATAATGATTAATTGAGATAATACACCCAGAAGTACTACTTTGCTAGAACAAAATAATCAGTACATAATAATGTGACTTTCCCTCAAATTGTCCTATGACAATCAGCAGGTGGGGTCATGGGCTTCTTCACCATTTCCATCTCGTTCACCACAGGTGCTCATGCATCACTAGCAGAGAGAATCCAGCGTCATAGTCATGCCCTTCCCTTTTAAAACTCACCAGGGACTTCCCACAGAGGCATGAAAAATATCAGGTAACCTCTTCTCCCCCACCAACACTAAATACTAAGAGTCTCAGTCTTTACTCTGCTTCACAACTACAAAATATGGTATCTTGTCTCTCCACATGGAGTATCTTATTTCTTTCCGTGAAACTACATCGTAGCCATTCTTCTCACTACTTATGAGTCATCCTGCTCCTTCCCTGCCTCCTCCCCAAGACATGAGATCAGATCAGACCTTCTTAGCAGACATATCTGCTGGAGACAAGTGATGCTGCCTCATTCTCTATTCCTATTGGTTGAAGAAACATGCCTGTGACAGGTTGGGGATTTCCAGGAATGCTTTTCTTTCTTGAAATGCCTAGTGCAAGAAGCTGGAATGCCTTCCCCAAAAAGAAGTAAGCTGAACTGAGACTGATGAGGCAGATTCTGGGTTTGAGAACTGTCTGTGGGTACTGCCTCTGAAAAGAGAGATGTATTCCTTCTAAAACGACTCATCTTTCTCTCTTTATCAAGTGATATTTCCTAGCATGATTATGAGAATATTAGTGCTCAGTAAATCCAACCTCTTCATTCTAACCATTACTTCCTAGTCTTGTAACTACACTGGGATTTCCAAAATAATTTCCTGGTTGATTTCCCTTCCATCTGTAGCTATACAAGTCTTGTTTTTGTTGGGTGGCTTCACTCTGTGCATCCCCTTCCATTCCTGAAGGAAGAATCTTCACTCCCATCAGACAGTACTCCTCTCCCGGCCTGCATCTTTCATCCTTCGTTTCCCTTACATATCGTTTCATTATATTTTCTCTACCCCTTCTACTGTCTTAATTAACCAAACTTGCCCTTTTTAATGAGTGTTACTATCTCATGCACATAGAGAGCTCCAATCTTTAATTTTTAAGGTTCATGTAGGTGTGTAAAACATTTTATTATTATTATTATTTTTGAGACGAAGTCTCGCTGTCACCCAGGCTGGAGTGCAGTGGCGAGATCTCGGCCCACTGCAACCTCCGCCTCCCGGGCTCAAGCAAACCTCCTGCCTTAGCCTCCCAAGTAGCTGGGACTACAGGTGTGTGCCACCACACCCAGCTAATTTTTGTATTTTTAGTAGAGACTGGGTTTCGCCATGTTGGCCAGGCAGGTCACAAACTCCTGACCTCAGGTGATCTACCTGTCTCTGCCTCCCAAAGTGCCGAGATTACAGTCGTGAGCTACTGCGCCCGGTCAGTGTGTAAACCATTTTAACAATTTGGCTCATGTTTGAAAACCCACAAATTTGTGCTCTTATTGTATTTTATAAACCAATCAATTGTAGCGCTTGTTGCAGTGTATTATAGCAAGTTTATGTTGGCTTTGAACTCCTAGGAAACAAGATCTGCAGATCCTATTTATCCTAATAATGCATAACCTTGAAGAATGATTTGCACAAATGCAGCAGTATTAACTTTTTAATGTTCCCCCAAAGGAATAAATGTTATCTTTTTCAAGTCAGGGTGTAATTCCCATGTTTCTACCATCACCTCCAAAAGGGGTACAAAAGATTATTTTCAGAGTTGTTATAAAGATTAAATGAGATAATTGAAAAATAGCTAACCAGACCCTGGAACCATTGATTCTCTTTTCCATCATTGTCCCTGCATGTTCTTATAACCAGCAGGTGGGGAGATGACCCTTAATCAATCTGTTTCTTCTTTCCTTTCAATTTTGTCCCTACCACAGATTTTAGTTTTCTACCAGTGATGAGATCCTAGCATTAAAGCAATTTTCTTTTCATTTAGTCCTGGGCAGGGACTTTCCACCTATGTCTGAAAAAGAACAAGTATCCTGATTCACGCTCTACATTCATTAAGCATGCTGGATCTTACTTGAAAAGGGGAGAGTTCTTGGCAATCCACACAGCTATCACCTGTTTCTTTCGACAAATTTCAGGTATTATATCTTTCTCGCACCACATAACTAATAATTTGCCCCTACTCCACGTTTTCACAGGGTCTCGAAACCAGACTAATGCTAGGACTATTGAAGTAGTGTTATTTGCTGGAGACAAATGATGTTACTTCACTCAGTGGTTGCATAGGAAGAAAACTGATAAGTAATGGAGATTTTTATAAAGTCCCTTTGTCCAGAAAACTGACCTGCTTCATCTTAAAGCACAGAGTCTGGGAACCAGGATAGATAACCAACCTGGGGGTTTGAGAACTCAGTCTTTGGATGCTATCTCTGAAAGAAGAAAAGAGGTCTAAAAAAATTCCACATTTTCTCTTTCTACCCATTAGATAGTAATAATTTGCACAAGTTTGGAAGGACACAAGGCACTCAGTAAAACCAGTACCCTAGTCTCACTGTCACCTCCCCAGCCTTGATGCTCCTCCTGTACCTATATGACACTTGCCTTACCAACAGATGATTTTGCTGTTTTACATTTGCACACTTCAGTTCATCACCTTCCTAAGAAGTGACTGCTCAGCTTCTAAGGCCTCTCATAAAAACAGGTCCTCTCTGTGCATCTTCTCTTATCCTATACTATTCTTTAATCTACATGTTCACTCCAGTCAATCTGGGCTTTTCCCTAAATCAACCCACTCCCTGTCCCACCCCCGCTGCCAGTACTGCTCTCACTCATGCAGTTCATGATGGTTCGTTTCCCACTGCTGTTCCTCGGAATCATTTCCTCCTCTTCTCTGCTTCAAGTCTTACTTCTGCAAACGAACTATATTTTCAAGTTTTCTCCAAATACTCCAGTCTGTATGAATATATCCTTTATCTGCTATTCTTGAATTTTGTTACTTTTAAATTATACCCACTCTTTCTTTCTTTCCTTCTTTCTTTTTTCTTTCTTTCTTTCTTTCTCTTTCTTTCTTTCCTTTCTTTCTCTCTCTCTCTCTCTTTCTTTTTTTTTATTTTTATTTTTCAAAGATAGCCTCACTCTGTTGCCCAGGCTGGAGTGCAATGGCGCGATCTCAGTTCACAACAACCTCTGCCTCTTAGGTTCAAGCGATTCTTATGCCTCAGCCTCCCAAGTAGCTGGGATTTCAGGCGTGCGCCACCACGCCTGGCTAATTTTTTGTATTTTTAGTAGAGATGGGATTTCACCATGTTGCCCAGGGTGGTCTTGAACTCCTGAGCTCAGGCAATCCGCCTGCCTTGGCCTCCTAAAGTGCTAGGATTATAGGTGTGAGCCACCACCCCCAACCCCCATTTGTATTTTCATTGCAATTTATAAATGTTTATATTTATACTTAATATATTGTTTATTAATTCAACAACTATTAATAACTATTTTGAACCCGGTATTTTTCTAGGAACTGAGGAGAGAATAGTGCAGAAAGTTCCTGGTGTATGGAGTGTATGCTGTATATGTCTTTTTTTCCTGGTATATATTGATCTTCATGAGATCTTCACCCTGGAACCTTAGCTCCTACCGCACTCTTTGAAACATGGGAGACGTTCAATAAGCATTTGCTCTTTGAATATCATCAGTTATAATCAGTTATACTCTGTGCTTCTTATGGAAGTATGTGCATGTTTTAGTTAATCGCCTTCCTAAAGAAGACAATGGGTGTTTGTCACTCTGTGAAGACCTCTACCAACTTATTCTAAAGTCAGAAAGGAGGTGAAACTTGCCTTAACATATAGAAAGGAACAGTTTAGTGACCAAAAAGTTTGACAAGAACTGGAACTATATACAAGAAATACCAGCCGAATCACAGGACTATTCCTGGAGCCCCCGCTTCCAGTGTCCTTCACTCCATCTTCTCCTTCAACTTCAATTTAACTACAACAAACATTCATTAACATGTGTGCCGATGTTTCCGATTTTCCTGCCCTTTTCCCTTCTGTGACTTCCAAAGTACTTAAGGGTGCATTCCGCTGTTGTTCTTATTTCTGTTTTCCTAACCACAAACACTGAAGCCCCTGGTGAGAGGCTCCTGGCACGAGTGTGATAGGCTCATGGTAGGTCGTCATGAGAAGCTTTCCAGGCACATCCCATGGCACCTGCTAGTTATGCCCAGTAATTTCTTACTGTCCCTGTTTTAGATACATTATATTTGTGACCACTGATGAACCTTTTTCTTATGATTCTGAGTTTTGGATTCTATTTTAAAAATCTTTTTCTACTTCAAGGTCAGGAAGATATTCTCTAATATCGTCTTCTAGAAGTTTTATTGTATTGATTTTTATAGATAGATATGTTTTCTACTGGAATTAATTTTGTGTATAAAGTGAGATAGGTGTCAAATTTCTTTCTTTCTTTTTTTTTCAGTAAGGATATACAACTGATCCAGCAGCATTTATTGACAGGCTGATTCTTTCCGGGTCACTAAATTGACAATCACGAAATAGATCACAAAATAGGCACAAAAGAGAACATACTGTATAGTTTAATTTGTATAATGTTACTAAGCATGTTTAGGAATAAATATTAGATTTTGAAGGCGTATTGAAAAGCAATGAAGGGATTGCTATGGAAGTCTGATGGTGAGTTGTCTTGATGGGAAGGGAGAGCAATGTAGACAGGAGGAAGCAGGGGAGAGCTTCTGGTGCTGGCCTCATGCTGTTTCTTGATTTGGGTGGTGGGTTCATGGATGTTGGCACTGTAATGATTGATTAAGTTGTACATTTATGCTTTACATGTCTTACTATATGTGTGTTCTATGTCACTATACAATGTTAAAAATGTAACACATTTGGTTTCCTAATCATATCCCAGTAATAAATAAATATTTATTTATTTATTTGTATTTATTTGAGACAGAGTCTTGCTCTGTTGCCCAGGCTGGAGTGCAGTGGTGCAATCTCAGCTCGCTGCAACCTCCACCTCCCGGGTTCAAGGGATTCTGCTGCCTCAGCCTCCTGAGTAGCTGGGACTACAGGTGCCCGCCACCACGCCTAGCTAATTTTTGTATTTTTAGTAGAGACGGGGTTTCACCATATTGGTCAGGCTGGTCTCGAACTCCTGACCTTGTGATCTGCCTGCTTCAGCCTTCCAAAGTGTTGGGATTACAGGTGTGAACCACCACACCCAGTCATTATCAATATTTATTAAATACTATAAGTGATGGACATTATTGAATGTGTTGGGGATATAGCAGTTAAGTGAAAACATAGTGTGATACATACATCCACTGCAGGGTTATGATGAGAATCAAATGAAACAAAGTGTCTGGAAGTAGAAAATTCAGTGCCTGGTGTAAAATAAACAATAACTCATCATTTTATTTTCCCTTCATTTGTCTGTGCATAAACCTATGGCAATCAGAGTTGGCATAATAGATCTCTCTGACAGTCTCCATCTCTTGTATAACAAGAATAGCAGGCAGATAGCAGCAGGATAGCTTTTTATTTGTGCTTTTAATACTACCCAGGGACAGGAATGGAAAACCAGGCATTATGTCTCTATCACTCTAAATGCCCAGCTCCTCCAATCCTCACTGCACATTTTGCTTTACTCTGCAAATATTCTTTATTTGCTAACTACTTATGTCCTAATTTATTCCACAAAGGAAGTTATCAGCCTTTCTTATCAACACCTAATTTAGTCATCCTGTTCTCCTGCACCTTCTCTCCAAGACTTTATATAAGACCTTCTGGTCAGATGTATCTGCCGGAGATAAGTGATGTTGCTTCAGTCTTTATCCCTATTGGTTATAGAAAAAAACAGCAACAACTGTTTGTGAAGGGATGGGGATTTCCAGTAAATTTCTCTCTTTTTTCTACAAAATGTCTCAACCAGAAAGAAAGAACCAACACACAGATGGATAGGAAGATTGATCCCTTTGGGTGTTACCTACAAAAGGAAAGAAAATATATTCCTTCTAAAAGACCTTCCGTTCCTCCCTTATTCATCAAATACCAATTCTAATGCACATCTGGAAATGCAAAAGGAGCATGGTATTCCCATCATCCATTTCTGTTGTCACCACACTGATCTCTGTGTCCAATCCCTCATAACTAACCTTGGATTGTAAAAGTTTTACTGCTTGATATTTTTTCCTGCGTCCATCCACATCTTTCTAAAAGATGTAACATCTTTGCCAAATTTTCAATGCCTTTCTTAGAACTTCAGCTCTGCACATCCACTCTGATCTCCCAGCATTATTTAAGGGAGCCTTTCAATTCTAGTCTAACAGACTCCCCTCTATCTCTATTTCCGTTTCCTGACTCCTCCTGCTTCCTGCACACACGTTATTCATGATAGTTCCTGTTCCCCAGCGAGTCTCTAGCCAACCTGAAACGTAACCCTTCCTCTGTGTTCTGAGTTTCACTTCCTCTGGAACTTACATCTATACAAATGCTTCCTTCTTGTTGTAAATATAAGTTTCTACTTAATTTTAACCATTTTTGTTTTAAAATTTTTGTCTTAAAAATTAATAACACCAAATTGTGTTTGATTGTTTTTTATAGATATGTCTGTTGTAGATCTTGTGACATTTTTATATGAATTTTATATGTCTGTTACTACTATGCGCTCTTTTGTCTGTGTAGGATCTACTTAAAAGTAGGATCTAATTCATGTGAATCTTTGTATCCCCAGCATTAGAAGAATCTTTTGCACAAAGGAAGCACTGAACACACTTTTTGTGATTGAATATCCCCACCTAGATTGCATGCGTATGCACACGTGCATATGGTGGATCCTCAGTTAAAATTTACCGAATTCAAAGTGCGGCAAAGATACGAGATAGATATTAAGAATATTTTTCTGACTGTGAGGATTTATATATGGAAATATGTGAAGGAGGGACAATCCCTTCTACAAAATTGTTTTCACCAGATTACCGCTGACTGTTACTGCTCTGTGTGGCTCCCACAACAACTTCTCCTATGCAGAAGCAGATAACTACATTTTTGTAGAAAACAAGAGGATGAACTGACTAGTGAGCAAGGGGTTAAACGGCTCCCAAATCATGTTCTCAATGATGCCCATCAGTCCTCACTTCATAATTTAATTACCAGTTTCAAAAGACCTTCTGGATGCTGGATGTTTGGGTCTTCTGGAACTCTCTCCTGCTCTTCTGGTATATCCACAAACAGTCTTGTCAAAACTGGATCCTGATATTTCATACAATTACTTGCTTCGGGACCTCTCTTTTCCTCATTTCCTCACCAAATACTGGAGTCCATTGAGTGAGAAGGGGCTAGCCTCAGCCATATGTTTAATTTGGAGGCCTAGTCAAGAGCTTTACTAGAGCATCCTGTGGGAATCAGTGGCCTTGCCCCAATATTTTCTCATTTTCACACTATTCACTGTTCCCATTCAATGCGGCTGCTGAGCTATTACTTTGCTTTCTGTCTAGACACTGGTAACCCTGGCTGGAGCGCCATCTTGGCTGATTCTCCCTATCTTATTGTCCTTCCATGACTCACATGTGCTACTGTCCATGAACCATGCTCTTTGTCACAAAATACAATTCTCAGCTTCCCCCCAGCTCCCACTCCTTCTCCCCAACACTTGCACTTACAGAAATGTTTCCTTCTCATTTCCCTTTTCTTTATTACCATCTTTTATCTGCCCTAATGTCTACAAAAGTATCCTTAGTTCTCTTGAAGTAAAAATGGACACTTTTAAAATTGTTTATGTAAGTATGGATGTATATATCTATAAATTCATGTGTACATATTTATTTATTCATGGATATTGGTGAATAAATGTCAGGGTAGCCCTACTTTTTACAACCTCTTCTCTGTTTGGTCACAATACAGATGCACTCTCTGCATTTGGGTGGGAGGCAGTGAAAGAAATGTCGATTGGCATGATTGTTGAATAGACACATGCACAGGAAATGCCTGGTGTTTAGTTCCCAGCCTCCATTTTTGCTTTCAGTACATATCTCACCTCAACTATACCTCTAGAAGGTATTTGAAGATTTATCCTGATCCTCCCATAAATATAAGAACCTTGTTCCATCCTATGATTTTTTAAATTATTGTATTTTTTTGGCAAATTATAATTGCATATAATTGTAGGGTACAAAGTAATGTTATGATATATATACACAATGTGGAGTAGTTGACTCAAGCTAATTAATATATACATCACCTTAAAAACTTTTCATTTATTCCTCCTGTCTGTCTGCTACTTTATACTCTTTGACTGATGTCTTCCTATTCCTCCCAATCTGCAGCCTCTGATAATCACTATTCTACTGTCTGCTTCTATGAATTTGATTGTTTTTGATTCCATATATAAATAAGAATATGCAGTATTTGTCTTATTTCACTTAGAAACGTCTAGCTTATTTCACTTAGCATACTGTCCTCTAGGTTCATTCATGTTGTTACACATGGCAGAACAGCGTTTATTTTTTGTTTTTTTTTTTTTTGAGATGGAGTCTCACACTGTTGCCTGGGCTGGAGTGCAGTGGCGCTATCTTGGCTCACTGCAACCTCCGCCTCCTGGGTTCACACCATTCTCCTGCCTCAGGCTCCTGAGTAGCTGGAACTACAGGCGCCCGCCACCACGCCTGGCTAATTTTTTGTATTTTTAGTAGAGACAGGGTTTCACCGTATTAGCCAGGATGGTCTCAATCTCCTGACCTCGTGATCCGCCTGCTTCGGCCTCCCAAAGTGCTGGGATCACAGGCATGAGCCACCACACCCGACCCAGAGCAGCTTTTTTTTTAAAAGGCTATATGTTACTCTGTTACACAGAATATATTCTGTATATATACCACATTAAAAAATTTGTCAGTTGATGGACGCTTAACATCTTGGCTATTATAAGTAACATTACAATGAACATGAGAGTGCAGATATCTCTTCAACACACTGATTTTAAGTCCTTAGTCCGTAAACCTAGAAGTGGGATTGCTGAGTCATATAGTAGTTCTACTTTTAATTTTTTCATGATCTTCCATACAGTTTTTTATAATGGCTATACCAATTTACATTCCCACCAACAGTGTACAAGTGTTTCCTTTTTTTTTTTTTTTTTCAGATGGCGTCTCACTCTGTCACCCAGGCTGGAGTGCAATGGTGCGATCTTGGCTCACTGCAACTTCTGCCTCACAGGTTCAAGCTATTCTCCTGCCTCAGACTCCCAAATAACTGGGACTACAGGCACACACTGCCATGCCCAGCTAATTTTTTTTTCTTTTTTTCTATTTTTTAGTAGAGACAGGGTTTCACCATGTTGCCCAGGCTGGTCTTGAACTCCTGAGCTCAGGCAATCTGCCCACCTCAGCCTCCCAAAGTGCTAGGATTACAGGCGTGAGCCACCACACCTGGCCAAGTGTTCCCTTTTCTCCACATCCTCACCAACACTTATCTTTTACCTTTTCAATAAGAACCATTCTTTCCGGTGTGAGGTGATATCTCATTATGGCTTTAATTTGCATTTCCCTAATGATTAGTGATGTTAAGCTTTTTTTTTTTTTTTTTTTTTTTTTTTTTTTTTTTTTTTTTGAGACAGAGTCTTGCTCTGTTGCCCAGGCTGGAGTACAATGGTGCAATCTCGGCTCACTGCAACCTCCGCTTCCCGGGCCCAAGTAATTCTCCTGCCTCAGCTTCCCAAGTAGCTAGGACTACACGCGTGTGCCACCATGCCCAGCTAATTTTTGCATTTTTTGTAGAGACAGGGTTTCACTGTGTTAGCCAGGATAGTCTCAATCTCTTGACCTCATGATCCACCCGCCTCAGCCTCCCAAAGTGCTGGGATTACAGGCGTGAGCCACTGCACCCACCAGTGTTAAGCATTTTTTCATATGTCTGTTGGCCACTTCAATGTCTTCTTTTGAGAAATGTTTATTCATATTCTTTGCTTATTTTTAAATCTTATTTTTTTATTTTATTTTTTTTGCTATTGAGAGTTTCTAGTGTATTTTGAATGTTAACCCTTCATCAGATGTATTGCTTGAAAATATTTTCTCCCAGCCGATAGGTTGTCTCTTCATTCTGTTGTTTTCTTTGTTGTGCAGAAGCTTTTTAATGTGATGTAATCCCACTTGTCTAATTTTAAATTTTGTTGCCTAAGATTCTGGGGTCAAATAAAATAAAAATCATTGTCCAGACCAATGTTGTATAGGTTCTCTCTGTTTTCTTCTAGTATTTTACAGTTTCAGGTCTTATATTTAAGTCTCCAATCCATTTTTAGTTGATTTTTGTATATGGTGTGAGATAAAGATCCAATTTTATTCTTCTGCATGTGAATATCCAGTTTTCTCAGCACTGTTAATTGAAGAGATTGTCCTTTTCCCATTGTGTGTTCTTGGTAACTTTATTGAAAATAACTTGGTCATAAATAAGTAGATTCATTTCTGGGCTTTCTATACTGTTTCATCAGTAGATGTGTCTACTGTTATGCCAGTACCATGCTGGGTTTTGTTGTTGTTGTTGTTATTGTTTTTAGATGGAGTCATGCTCTGTTTCCCAGGCTGGAGTGCAGTGGTGTGATCTTGGCTCACTGCAACCTCCGCCTCCTGGGTTCAAGCAATTCTCTGCCTCATCCACCTGCGTAGCTGGAATTACAGGTGGCTGCCACCATGCCCAGCTAATTTTTGTATTTTTAGTAGTGATGGGGTTTCACCATCTTGGCCAGGCTGGTCTTGAAGTCCTGACCTTGTGATCCACCTGCCTCAGCCTCCCAAAGTGCTGGGATTACAAGCATGAGCCACTGTGCCCAGCCATGCTGTTTTAAGTACTATAGCTTTGTAATATAGTTTGAAGTCAAGTGGTGTAATGTCTCCAGTTTTGCTCTTTTTGCTCAAGATTGTCTTAGCTATTCAGGCTTTTTGTGTGGTTCCATATGAATTTTATATTGTTCATAGATATTGTAAATGGGATTGTTTTCTTGATTTGTTTTTTGAATAGTTCATTGTTAGTGTATAGAAATACTACTGATTTTTGTGTGTTGATTTTATATGCTGCAACTTTACTGTATTCATTTATTAGTTCTAATAGCGTTTTGGTGAATTTTTTTAGCATGTTTTAGATATAATACACATTCTTCTCAAGCACACATTGAACTTTCTCCAGGACAGATGAGAAAAAAAAAGGCCACAAAAAAAGTCTAAACAAATTTTGAAGTGCACAACATTATTTTGTTAACTATAGGCACTATGTTAAATAGCAGATCTCTAGAACTTATTCATCCAGCATAACTAACACTTTATACCCTTTTAGTGACAGCGCTCCATTTCCCCCAGCCCCCAACTCTTGTTAACTACTATTGTATTCTCTGCTTCTATGAGCTTGAGTATTTTAGTTACCTCATATAAGAGGAATTCTGCAATATTTGTCTTCCTGTAACTGGCTTATTTCACTCAGCATAAGCGAAATTAAAAAGCTTTTGCATAGCAAAGAAAACAATAAACAGAATGAAAAGATAACCTGCAGAATGGAAGAAAATATTTGCAAACCATATATTTGATAAGGGGCTAATTTCAAAAATGTATAAGGAACTCATACAACTCAAGAGCAAAACAACCAACCAAACAAACAAATAACCTGATTAAAAAATGGGCAAAGGGCTTGAACAGATGTGTCTCCGAAAAAGATGTTATAGACTAAATGTTTGTGTTCCCTCCTAATCATATGTTAAATACTAAGCCCCAATATTATAGGATTAGAAGGTGGGCCCTTTGGAAGGAATTAGGTCTAGAGTCTATCTAGATAAACACTCCAATTAATTGCCCATATGGGAACACAAATTGGTTTCTGATGGTGTAAAGTTACTAAGGAAAAATCACAACAATAAACAGATGAACAGGATCAATTTCTTCTTACCATGGAGGATATGTATCCTCAACAGAAGCCTGTGCCATTTAAAGGCCATATTAGTATTCATCAGAGTTGATAGGACCCTTTCCAGTAAGATTTCAGCAATGTCCTCCATTGAGGAACTTTGGGTGGAGCCAGTCTTTGCACCATAGCACTATCTAGGTCATGGCTATAAGTCTACAAGTGAAAAAACCATGGTCAATATTAATGATATTGCAATTAGTATCAGCAATACCACTGAAGGAAATGTGGACAGTTAAAATAATTTAGGAGGCTGGGCACGGTGGCTCACGCCTGTAATCCCAGCACTTTGGGAGGCCGAGGTCAAGAGATCGAGACCATCCTAGCAAACATGGTGAAACCCCATCTCCACTAAAAATACAAAAACTAGCTGGGAGTGGTGGCGGGCACCTGTAGTCCCAGCTACTCCCGGAGGCTGAGGCAGGAGAATAGCTTGAACCCAGGAGACAGAGGTTGCAGTTAGACAAGATCACGCCACTGCACTCCAGCCTGGCAACAGAGTGAGACTCTGTCTCAAAAAAAATAAAAGAAAAAAAGAAAAGAAAAAAAAAGAATTAAGTGTTTAAGTCCTGTTCTGGAGAGAAAATAAACCCATGTCTATGTATTTTGCCTCAGTGGAAGAACCAGTTGCTTTTAGAACTGATTCTTGTTATGCTTTTTTGTTTTTCATAGCTTTAGAACTTGTAATAGCAATAAAGATTCCTCACTTCTGGAAAAACTCAAAAATTTCGAATAATCCTTATATTATCTTCTGCTGTGGTTATTATAAAGTATTTTCTTCTGGTTAATTATATAGCTATGGCTTAGATTATTTTTTACTAGCTGATACCTTTTTTCTTATTCTAACAATTGACTAGACACCTCCTTAAGGTCAAATCCAAAATTCTGAACTGTGGATACTGACAGGCTTTTGTTTGCACCCAGATCATCTTTAGCATCTCTAGATTGATACGTAGTAGTACCAAGTTTTCCACCTTTATCTTGCTAGTGTACCCCTTGAATGAACACAAGACCAAAACAGGGATGCTAGCAATAGTTAGTGTGGTTCTTATGCTTTATTTTTCTCAAAACTGCTGTATGATACTGAGAGTTGCTTTGTTTGACAGGCACACAGGGTAGGAAGAGATGTCATGACAAAAGGAATCGTTAATTTTTTTGCACATATATAAGTTGATTTTATTTAGGTAAAATATTGTTAACATAAATAAGTACTAGTAAGTTTACTTTTTCAAGATAATAAATTGTCTACAAGGATGAACTGTTAGAAAAATAACTGCTAAAAGATTTTATTATTTATTTTAAATAAAATAAGCAACAAACCAGGCACACACTTTATAGGACAGATTGAGAAGTTGGTACAGTTCAACAGGTTCATCAATTTCTTCACTGTCCACACTGCAGTCACTGGGGAGTGGGCTAGTGGAGCACCAAAATGAAATTTTGAAAAATAATCTGGCCTATTTTGGACTGGATAGATAGGTGGATACTTACCGCAGTACAATTAACATAAGATCTAGAAACAGAAATAAAAAGAAAATTCTTTGTACTTACAATATTAGTACAAAGGCCTATGGGAATTCTAGTTGTTCTCTCTATTAACTATGCAATGGCAAGCATTCTGTTATAAAACAGCTAAGTTGAGTCAAAGAATGACATTTGGAAGTTGAAGAAGTCCTGTCAACTGACCTAGATAGTGTCATGGTGTAATGATTGGCACTACCAAAGTTCCTCAATGGAGGACATTGCTGAAATTTTACTGGAAAGGGTCCTGTCAAGTGTGATGAATACTAGTAAGGCCTTTAAATGGCACCGTTTTCTGTTTCAGGATACATATCTTCCATGCTAAGAAGAAACTGGTCCTGTTTATCCATTTATTGTTATTATCATTTTTTCTTTAGATATAAGGATTAGTAACCTGCTTTTTACTTTAAATTCCAGATTAGTGGTGGTTGCTTTCTGAAAACCCCTGAGAACATTTTGAGACTACTTGGACAAGTGGCAGACATTCTATGATAACTAAGGCTTGCTGATAGCCAAAAGAGCCTATTTTTCCAAAATGTGTTGCAAGCTTTCAGGCTTACTACAAGTGAGCCCCATTCTGTGACAATCAGTAGGACTCAAGACATGCTGTAATCCTACCAATGTCAACCTGCCTGTTGTTCAACAAAAGTCTGTGCTTCCGATTTTACCTGTTTAGTCCTGGGAATGTTGGGATTTATTTCCCGTAAAACCAAACCTATGGTTTCATGCATCAAGACCAGAGACCATGGAAGTTCCGTACTGAAAGCCACTTTCTTCCAGAAACCAATTTAATTGTCATTTCCTCAGGAAATAAGCTCTCATATTTGACACCTCTCACAGCCAGCTGAGTTGAGAGGATTATTCTCTTTTTTCCGTGAAAAAGTTCAGCCTATTAGACCACCTATGTGACTGATGGTTTGGTGAGAGTTGCTACATTGTTTAGCCTGAACTATCCTTATATTGAATATTGAAGGAAAGTGTGAGATATATAATTTAAAGAAGCACATCTGTTGTAGTATAAGTGTGTCTCCTTTAAAATTCAGGTAGGGCTCCTCACTCATGAATGGGATTAAGGCCCTTGTAAAACACGCTTCACACAGTTTTTAGCCTCTCATCCTTCCACCTTCTACAATGTAAGTACACAGCGTTCATCCCCTCTGGAGGATGCAAGACGCCATCTTGGAAGTGGCGACCATGCCCTTTGCCAGACATTGAACCTGTTGGTGCCTTAATCTTGGACTTCTCAGCCTCCATGTGTTCTTTATAAATTACCCAGTCTACTGTATTTTATCACAGCACAAATAAACTAAGACAACATCTTTGTTACTCATAAATGTATAAAACATACAGAATTTAGTTCATTGCCATTGGCCATCTTTTTAAATATAAATTTGTATGATTTATAAATAGTGTGTCAAATTTATATAAACAAGTTTTGAAAGTTTCCTTTTAACTGTATTTTAGTACATTCTTGATGTAGAATTACTTATTTTTGCCTAATTAACTAATTAACTAATTGTGATGTGGTGACCTAGGAAAGGAAGCTAAGGTTCACCTTAGTATTACAGGATAAAAGCAGGAGCTATGGATGTCCTTACGTAACATAAACGCAAATTGTGTCATTTCCAGAGGAGAGTAACCATGGTGATGAGGGGAATCTTTTGAAATAACTAGAATTGCTACAAAGTATCTACCCCAAGGTCTATAAAATGTTGCCATTCATTAAAAGAAGTAGTCTTACTGATTTGCACAGCCATGAATTAAAGTGATAAAAATAATTTTAGTATAATGGACATAATTCTCTTTAGAAATTGAATGTGAGGTAGTATAATATAACGACAGAGCTTGAGGGGTTTGGAATTACATATATAATAACTTGGTTCAATAGAATTGACAGAACAACTCTGCTTTAAAATAATTAATATTTTATGTGAAGAGTGTTCAGTCTCTTACTCCTGGTTCCCATTATGATTTCCTCATTTGTTTGAGGCTATGGCCCTTTACTATTCCACTTCTCTGGTTTTATCGTAAGGGAAGATATAAGAAGATTTTGCAGGCCAGACGTGGTGGCTCACGCCTGTAATCCCAGCACTTTGGGAGGCCGAGTTACTGTTTACTAGCCTTGCATCTTTGCAAAAGTTGTTTAATCTCCATCATTTTATTCTCTTCACTTGTAGGGATGAAAAGGTTATATCCCTCATTCAGCTAATGTGAGAATTGATTAAAAATATGATGTATGGAAAGCTCTGTACAATTCTGAGTACAAAGCAAAATGCTCAAAAATTGCTAAGAAATTTTAGTCATTTTTATTGCAGCATGGTGAGTATCCCATTCCTAGAAACACTAAGGCACATAAGGAATGACTGCCTATCAGAACTGTGGTAGGGTGTGAATTAATGCAGAACTTTATCTGCATAGTTATACTTTGAAGTCCGTTCTGAATCTTAGATGCTACATTTATATAAATACAAAGCATAATAGCTATCTAAATGTAGAATTGTATGTTTAAAATTATATGATTACATCAACTGATGTAAATCACAGATTTTCCCTAGGGTTCTGTTTCCTGAACATTCTGTAACGTATTAGTTAGCAAAGTCTTTTTTTTTTAAAACTGAGTCTCGCCGCATCAACCAGACCGGAGTGCAGTGGCGTGCTCCCAACTCACTGCAACCTCTACCTCCCAGAATCAAGCAATTCTTGTGCCTCAGCCTCCCGAGAAGCTGGGATTACAGGCATGCACCACCAAGACCAGCTGATTTTTCTATTTTTTTTTTTTAGTAGAGACGGGGTTTCACCATCTTGGCCAGGCTGGTCTTGAACTCCTGACCTCAAGTGATCTGCCCACCTCAGCCTCCCAAAGTGCTGGGATTATAGGCATGACCCACCACGTCCTGCCAGCAAAGTCTTCTTATATATTCCCTTACGATAAAACAAGAGAAGTGGAATAGTAAAGGGCCATAGTCTCAATCAAATGAGGAAATCCTAATGGGAACCAGGAATGAGGGATTGAACACTCTTCACATAAAATATTATTTTAAAACAAAATTGTTCTGTCAACAGCTGACTTTGAGTCCTTGATCGATCTCTCAGACCCATGAATACTTGGATTGCACAGTTGACCTTATCGCATTGTTAGGGTAAGTGCTATACAAAGGCACATTCAGACCCTCCATTGCATATAGGTGGCCCCTGCAAACCCCTTGCCTGTGTGTGTTCTGGAGGTGCCACTAAACTTGGGGGAAGCATCAGGAGATACACTTGAAAAAACTCTTTTTACTAAGATTAAATTATTAACTAACTTTCAATTTCCTTTAACTTATTAGAGACATCTCTACCTGTAAATAGGTAAAGATTACACTCTCCAGTCAACAGCTGTCATTCTGTCATATCATCAGATACCCAGGGCTGCTGCTCCCTGAGGCATCCACAGAATCACATTTTCCAGTATTGAAAGACCTGAAAGATCACGGTGCCTTCATTTCAACTGTGAGACATGATGTAATTTTCACAAATCTACAACAGTAAGATATAGTGCAACAGGACCAGATTAAGGTCTCCTGGTTTGCAACCATGTCCCCTCCATCTCCTTTACTCCTGAACACACTCACTCCTGCAAACAGTTCTCTTGTCAAGTGGGAAATGAATGCTCTTACAAGGCTCAAACTTGTGAACACATCACTGACCAGCACAGAGCTAAAATAATTGGGGCTAAAAATACCGCCCCAATTAAAGTGTTTTACATGCAACTGGTTCAAACCTTTCAAGTACTAAAAACAATCCTGTAAAGAAGGAAATTCTGTTTCAGAAGAGGACCTTCATACAGCATCTCTGACCAGCAACTGATGATGCTATTGAACTCAGATGCTGATTCGTTCTCCAACACTAGATTACCCAATCCAGGAGCAAGGAAATCAGTAACTTACTCCCTATAACTTGGAATGTGGGTGGAGGGGTTCATAGTTCTCCCTGAGTGAGACTTGCCTGCTGCTCTGGCCCCTGGTCCTGTCCTGTTCTCCAGCATGGTGTGTCTGAGGCTCCCTGGAGGCTCCTGCATGGCAGTTCTGACAGTGACACTGATGGTGCTGAGCTCCCCACTGGCTTTGGCTGGGGACACCAGACGTAAGTGCACATTGTGGGTGCTGAGCTACTATGGGGTGGGGAAAATAGGGAGTTTTGTTAACATTGTGCCCAGGCCATGTACCTTAAGAAATTGTGACGTATTTTTCAGAGATTGCCCATCTTTATCATATGGATCCCAAATAATTTCCCCACCACAAAAGGAGCTTGGCTACTTGCCCACTCCATGAGACTTGTGTAAGGGGCCTCCATACAGGTCATTTCTACTCAAATCTCCACCAATAAAACCTTTGCATCACATGTCCTCAGGGTCTTTAGAGGATTTAGAAATAAGGATGCTAAAATAAATTCCCCATACAGCACTTGCCTTTATTATGTTGACTTATGTCAGACAAAGGAGGTTTTTTCTGAAAATTTTGTGGAAGTCAAGGGAATTTAAAGGGTCTCTCCTAAACGATCCTGGGTTATGTCACCCACAGGACCTTTGGTGTTGGCCCCTCTTCCTCATATGTGAGGATGGACCCAGTGGCCTCCCCATTATCTACTTTCTTTTCTTTCTGAACTCCAATGTTTATAAAGCCTGTACCCCTGTAGTGTATGTAGGTTGTCTGACAGAAGTTATACTTAGTGCTCTTTCTTTCTTGTGGGGAAAAATCCCTGGAACTGAAGCTGAGATCTTTAGTACTTGGAGTCACCTTACAGATACAGAGCATTTATGAGGTATTCTTTGGTGCCTAAAGAACTTAAGGCATCCTCTGAAAACCTGGCCCAGGTTAGTGTTTATTATGAATCTCTTTTAACCTTTCTATACTTGTTTCTCCTACATCTCCTAAGTGCTCCAACTAGACATGACAGAAGAGATTTAACTAACGTAGTATGAGTTATATAAAATTCTATTTTTGTAAGTCAAAAATAATCAAATATCAAAAATTTAATAATGTTCAAACTATATACTCTGTGTGGGGTTACCGAGACAATGTGGACATTGTTCACATCTCATAGGGCTGAAAGTCAATGGGCAAGTCCTGGGAACTCATTGTCTTACTGGGGTCTTGTCCTAAATTTCATAGGTTCACCCATCATGCCCTCAACTTTCCTTAATTAGCCATGTCTGCTTACCTCTTCCTCCAGTTTCTCTCTTATTTTTCCCCAGCTATGTTGTTATCATTTCCAGAAATCTCTAAAGCTTGCACAGATCCTTAGCACTATGAGATCCATTGAAAGAGATAGTTTTTTTCTTTTTGAGATAGGGCCTGGCTCTGTCACCCAGGCTGTAGCTCAGTGGTGCGATCGAGGCTCACTGCAACCTCTGCCTCCCACGCTCAAGTGATCCTCCCTCCTCAGGCTCCAGAGTAGCTGGGAATACAGGCAGGCAACCACGCCCAGCTAATTTTTGTAATTTTGGTAGAAATGAGATTTTGCCATGTTGCCCAGGCTGGTCTTAAACTGCTGGACTCAAGCAATCCACCTGCCTTGGCCTCCCAACATGCTAGGATTATAGATGTGAGCCACTGTGCCCAGGCAAAAAGAGATGACTCTCAATAAAAAAAAGTCCTTTTTCTTAAATCACTGTTTCTTTATCTGTGAATTCTTCTTCCAACTAGAAGGAGGAGAAAGAAGTTTGCCTGTATTTCTCACCAGGAGGAGAAGGGGTCTAGTGTGACATCAGAATGAAAGAGTGCTGGAGTTTGAGCCCCTTCTTGCTTTCCAAGATCCCCACAGTTATCACTTCCCATACCCTGGTTTATTCATGTAAACCACACTTATTTTTCTTAGCAGCTACTGTGTACTCGGCTCCATTCTAGGTTCAGATCATTCTATTTGATTAAGACAGAGAGGGTCCCGACTCTCATGGAAGTTACACAACAATAGAGGAGACAGACACTAACCCAATAAGCATTTAACAAAGAATAAAATATTAGAGAGTCATAGTGCACTGAAGAAAAGACATCAGGTTTGTGAAGAAGAGAGACATGGATTCACCTACTTTAGTTCATATGTTTAGGGAGCTCTACCTGAGAAAGTGACATTCAGCTGAGACAACAAAATAAGTAGACAGTCATGAAGATCTAATGGACGAAAGCTCCAGAGAGACCAAATGGGGGGAAAGCCCTGGTGTGGGAAATTATGTGGAGAGAGAGAAAGACGGCTAGAGGGGCTGATGTATAGAAAGTAAGGAAATGGAGAGGCAGAAGATGAGGTAGGACACAGAGAGAAAGTCAGGAGCCTCATCATTATAGGCTCTGATGTCCACGGTAAAAAATTTGAATTTTATTTTATTTATTTATTTATTTATTTATTTATTTTATTTATTTATTTATTTATTTTTTTAAGATGGAGTCTCGCTTTGTTGCCCAGGCTGGAGTGCAGTGGCGTGATCTCAGCTCACTGCAAGCTCCACCTCCTGGGTTCATGCCATTCTCCTGCCTCAGCCTCCCTAGTAGCTGGGACTACAGGCACCTGCCACCACGCCTGGCTAATTTTTAGTATTTTTAGTAGTGAGGGCATTTTGTCATGTTAACCAGGGTGGTCTCCATCTCCTGACCTCGTGATCCACCTGCCTCAGCCTCCCAAAGTGCTGAGACTACAGGTGTGAGCCACCACGCCTGGCCTATTTTTTTTTTTTTTGAGACGGAGTTTCGTTCTTGTTGCCCAGGCTGGAGTGCAATGGTGCAATCTCGGCTCACTGCAACCTTCGCCTCCCTGGTTCAAGTGATTCTCCTGCCTCAGCTTCCCAAGTATCTGAGATTACAGGCACCCACCACCATACCTGGCTAATTTTTATTTTTTTGTATTTTTAGTAGACATCGGGTATCACCATGTTGACCATGCTGGTCTCGAACTCCTGACCTCAGATAATCTGTCTGCCTTGGCCTCCCAAAGTGCTGGGATTACAGGCATGAGCCACCGCGGCCGGACTGAATTTTATTTAAATAGATACGAGAAGCTACTGTATGGTTACAAGGAGAGTCAATTTATATTCAATTTATTTTTATTTTATTTTATTTTTTTGGTGATGGGGTCTTGCTCTGTTGCCCAGGCTAGATTGTAGTGGCACAATCTCGGCTCACTGCAACCTCTGCCTTCTGGGTTCAGGCGATTCTCCTGACTCAGCCTCCAGAGTAGCTGGGACCACAGGTACATGCCACCACACCTGGCTAAGTTTTTGTATTTTTTAGTAGAGACAGGATTTCACCATGTTAGCCAGGATGGTCTCGATCTCCTGATCTCGTGATCCACCCACCTTGGCCTCCCAAAGTGCAGGGATTACAGGCCTGAGCCACTGCGCCCGGCCTATATTCAATTTTTAAAACTAATTCTAGCTACTCTGTGGGGATTGGAATGTTGGGGTTCACAAGTGGTCAGGAAGACTATTTAGGAGCACAGCAGGGAATTCTCCAGCGAAAACAGGCTTGTGGCTTCATGGAGTGCATTAGTGATAAAGACGGTGAAAAAGATAAAGTGGACAGACTTGGCATGTATTTTTCCTTAGCTTGTTAATGAATTACTGTAAAGGGGGTAGAACAATCAAGCTTATTCCTAAGGATTTTGTTTTGACAAATAAGTGGGTGGTAGTGTTGTTTATTGAGATAGGAAAAACTATGGGAGGAAATTATTTGAAGTGGGTGGTTGGAAATAAAAGTTTTGTTTAAATTTGAGATGATTTATTGACATTTATGTGGAGCAATCAGAAGGTCAATGGCATTTAAGAGACTCATGGTGAGGCTAGGGCTTCAAGTATTTATGTTGGCGGCATCAATACGTGTAGTGTGTTAAATTCCAGGGAGTGGAAGAGGATACATAGGGAGATGGATTGTGTGGAGAAAAAAGAACAGGGCACAGGCCAGCAAAGGGGGCTGAGAAAGAGCCCAGGGATGTTGGAGAAAAATCAAGAGAACATGATGCGTGTACGTCAAGGAAAATAGATTTTTTTCAAGGAGAAGGGAGAGGCCAATTGTGGTGAGTACCACTAAGCGGAGGGGGAAGTGAGAACGTGACAGAGAAGCAAGTGCTGGGTTTGGTGGAGTTGATATTTGCAGTCAGTGGAGTATCCAGGGAGGAAACTGGATTGGACAATTTGAAGAGCGAGTAGAAGTGAGGATGAGGTTAAGATTGACTGTTTTGAGTAGAGAGCTTCAGGGAAGGACTGCACTCTGGGTTCAGGGAGCCAGCTGGATCAAAAGGAAAAGGCTAAAGAGGCTGAAGAGAAGCAGGAGGACCTGTGAACCAGAGATGCTCAGTCATTATTAGCGAGGAAATACTAGAAAGCCCCTGTGTGCAGTGATGACTACTCATGCAGAAGGTCACACAGCCAATATTTAACACAGCCAGTATTTCACACAGCTAATATTTATTAGTGACATAGAATATACCAGTTATTACTCTAGGTCATGAGAATGGAGTGATAAATAAAATGAATCCGGTCGCCATCAGTATATGCCATGTAACATTTTGCAGTGACTGTGTACCAGGCCTGTGAATTTCAGTATGCAATTTCAATAATGATCCTGCTGTATCTGTGGTGTTTAAAAACATATACATCTCTGGAATCTAAAATTGAGAGGTTATAAGTAAAACCCAGTATTACAAATTGAGTGCTGGAAATCAGATTGCAGTTTAAATCTGAGCATATAGAAAGTCCCTTTCTTCTATGTCAGCAGATGCCTTTTGTGTGAGGTTTAGCTGGACTGCATTATTAGACATAAACCAGTGTTTCTGCCCTATGTTTTCAGAATGACAATTCTTTATGAAACTCATAGAAGAACAGAAGACAACTGCAAAATCATGATGAAGATAGTAATTGCTTTAGAATTAAGGAATACAAAAAATAATGTGAGCTGTAGTTATAGGGATCATAAAAGTTTAAATGGGAATGTATTTGAGTATGTGATCAGTGCTAAGAAGAGTCATCATTTAATTTTACACTTAACAGTAATCTCGTGAGGATTACGCTATTATTAAATGCATTTGATAGATTACAAAAAGGCTTATGGTTGGTAAAAATTGACCCAAGTAGAAGAGATCATGTTTTTATTCAGGTTTTCTGATTCTAGAGTTTGAGAGTTTGTCCATCATTAGTGAGTAGTGACTATATTGTGTCTGAATTATTGACAGAATTTCTGATATTCATATGTACCAGGTTGTTTCTTAGAGTGGGGATAGAGATGCAAGGGCTGCTAGTTCCGATGTATTGGGGAAACTTTCATTCATTTTGCATTTATCATTTTAAAAGTTCTGTATGTCTATAATGGTCATGTGTTGAAGAACACAAGGAAGTATTAAATCACTCCTTCTTCTAAGGTTTGACTAGCAAGTTGGGCTAGAGTTACCAAATAAAATACATGTTCCTAGTGAAATCTGAATTTCAGATACAAAACCATAATTTATTGAAAATCCAAATTTAACTGGGCATCCTCTGGTTTTATTTGCCACATCTGTCAACCCTAAGTGTGACACATGGACATGGATTACAGTGCTAACCATGCAAGCCACGGTGACAGCAACTTCACACATGTTTATTTTTAACTTTCTCTGTAAGAAAGTGCTTAGATAATTTAGGGATAAAAAGATAGACATTGCTTGATCCAGGGTGCACACCTCTCTGCCACCATTTCTAAAGGGCAAAGGGAGATTTCTGCAGGTCTTGCTCACAGTCTGGGGAGCTGCTCATTTTTGTAAAGTGTCTGTATGAGAATGTCATTTTCTTGGTTTCCTCCTTTCCGAGGGGACTTGACTACAAAACCAAGAGTTCTGCCTCTGGCCAAGGCTGGTAATTTGATGCCTGCTAGTATTGTTGGGAGTGGGAGACTGAAAGAAATGAGTTAGTTGGGGCATTTAACGGGAATAAAATAGCTGTGGTTGTGACTCATTACTACAGATAATTAGTGGACCAGTGGCAGAGAAATTAAGAAAAAAGATGATGTGAATGATAAATGATATGATTAGTGACTGCTTGGTAAGGCAAGGAAATCATTAAATCTTGGTTCTCATCAAGTTCATTTTCTGGAAAGATAGCACTGTATTGGGAGCAGAATTCTACAAAACCTTCTTTTTACATAGGACCAAGATTTTCAACAAATATTTTTCAATGCAATTCTCAGCTGCTCCATAACTAATAGTAGCTTGTTCAACACAGATTTTTTCAGATGATTCACACCTGTGGTACTTACCCAGGGATGGTTCACCACCCCTCCCTTCCCTCTCATCATCGTTGGGGAACGGTGACAATGTTTGGAACAATTTTTGGTTGTCACAAACAGGGGTTTCTTCTGATATTCAATGAGTAGAAGCCAGGGACACTGCTAGAGAACCCACAATGTTCAGAACAGCCTCTGCCATCAACAAGGAATTATCTGGTCCAAAATGTCAATAGTGCTGAGGCTAAGAGCACTGGTTCACACTGTGCTCTTTCTGAAAATTCTAGACTCACATCTGTTATACACTCACCACACAGTTTAGTCTTTTATTTTTGCTTGTTTCATTATAAACAATTAGACAGTTGCATAAATTCAACCACTTTCTTGTTGAATCCATTTAGTCAATGCAAGCTCAATATTTTCATATTTATTTTTTGCCTTATGCAATATTTTTCAACATTTTCATGAGTTGTCGGTCATCACTATCTCTATTAACTTTCAACAACTTGCCCTTGTAAGTCACAAATAGTGATGCTGCTGAAATTATTTCTCACTAACATGCCTCAGATTTCTGTAGTGATTCTACATTTGATATTATTCACAATGTAAAATGCTTCTATTTATTCATTTCGCTTTTACCCAAGGATTATTTTTAAGTTATTTTTGTCATTTTCACACTTCAAACATAAAGACAAAAACATCAAAAATATAGTGTTTTACATATGTGCATATTTTCACACATATATGTATGTATATTTATATGTATTGAAAGTACAGAAGCACATGTCACCAATAAGAGCTCTGAGACACCTTCGACCACTTACCCTTATCAGATGAGTTGTGGAAACAAGTTTTTTTAACTGAATTTCTGAGCTTTGTGGATTTAGAAATGCAAAGGAAGGTTTGTGGACATTCACAGGGATCATGATTTTATTCTCCTTAAAACTCTTCTGTACTTTCCAATTGTCCTTAGTATAAATCCAAAATCCTAACACCACCCAAGAGGCTTTTCAATACCTGGCTCCTGTGATTTCTCCGGGCTAATCTGTTACCCTCCTTCCCCTCAGCCTCTCTGCTTTAGTGAACTTTCTCCTAGTTTTTTGAAGAAGTTCATCAATTCAAGCTTTTGTACATGGGATTTCCTAAACCTGAAATGTGCCTCCCGTTTTGTCCAAACAGACACGGGCTCCACTCTGCCCCCTGGCTCACACCTGCTTAACCTGTCAAGTCACATCTGAACCGTCACTATTAAGAGGGTCCTTCTCTGGCACCCTAATGTAATTGAGATCATCCTATTATTCTCTGTTCTAGAACTCCACACTTCCGACATTTCTCATTCCTGTCTAAGCTCTTGTGTGTTTGGTGTTGGGCCATCACTTTCACTGCTCTTTAAGCTCCCCCAGCGGAGTGGAGAGGTCTGTTTTCCCTCGTTTGGATTCCTAGAGGCAGCGCAGACCAGGCACAAGGTCAGCACTAAGGAAGGGTTCAGAGGATGAACGCGGTGGGTGCTGTTTAAGGAACCGGTAAACATGTGGGATGAGAGAAGGAGCAGAGTGTCTTTGGGGTGGAGGCTCCCAGGAGGAGGCGGCGCGGGCTGCGGTGCTGGGCGGATCCTCCTCCAGCTCCTGCTTGGAGGTCTCCAGAACAGGCTGGAGGTAGGGAGGGGGGTCCCAAAAGCCTGGGGATCAGACGTGGTTTTCCCGCCTGGTCCCCCAGGCCCCCTTTCGCCTCAGGAAGACAGAGGAGGAGCCCCTGGGCTGCTGGTGGTGGGCGTTGCGGCGGGGGCCGGTTAAGGTTCCCAGTGCCCGCACCCCACCCAGGGAGCCCCGGATGGCGGCGTCACTGTCAGTGTCTTCTCAGGAGGCCGCCTGTGTGACTGGATCGTTCGTGTCCCCACAGCACGTTTCTTGGAGTACTCTACGTCTGAGTGTCATTTCTTCAATGGGACGGAGCGGGTGCGGTACCTGGACAGATACTTCCATAACCAGGAGGAGAACGTGCGCTTCGACAGCGACGTGGGGGAGTTCCGGGCGGTGACGGAGCTGGGGCGGCCTGATGCCGAGTACTGGAACAGCCAGAAGGACCTCCTGGAGCAGAAGCGGGGCCGGGTGGACAACTACTGCAGACACAACTACGGGGTTGTGGAGAGCTTCACAGTGCAGCGGCGAGGTGAGCGCGGCGCGGGGCGGGGCCTGAGTCCCTGTGAGCTGGGAATCTGAGTGTGTGTGTGTGTGTGTGTGTGTGTGTGTGTGTGAGAGAGAGAGACAGAGAGACAGAGAGAGAGAGCGCCATCTGTGAGCATTTAGAATCCTCTCTATCCTGAGCAAGGAGTTCTGAGGGCACAGGTGTGTGTGTAGAGTGTGGATTTGTCTGTGTCTGTGAGGCTGTTGTGGGAGGGGAGGCAGGAGGGGGCTGCTTCTTATTCTTGGAGGACTCTGTGGGGAGGTGACAAGGGAGGTGGGTGCGGGCGGCTGGAGAGAGAGGTGACCTTGATTGTCTCGGGTCCTTAGAGATGCAGGGAAGGGAAATGTAAGGGGTGTGTGGTTGGGGTGAAGGTTTAGGGGAGGAGAGCTGAGGGGTAAGGAAGGTTTGGGATAATGTGAGGAGGCCAGTTCCAGACTGTCCCTGGCACACACCCTTCATGTAATCTCTGAAATAAAAGTGTGTGCTGTTTGTTTGTAAAAGCATTAGATTAATTTCTAGGGGAATTGAGGAGACCTCTGAGGCATCTCTGAAGCTTCTTTAGGTCTAAATTTCTTGCTAGTTTTTTGTTTTTTATTGTGTATATTTTTACATAGTAGAAATGACTGTGAAACTAACTTTTTGAATTAAAGTTTTAACACAGTTACTATTTTATTATAATGCTAATAGTTTTCTAGTAGTTACATATTATTCTTTTATATATAATAGTTGTGACACAACTTACCTCACTTTCCCCTTTGTTGACCTTTATTATGACATTCACCAAAATTTGAAAATGTATGTTTCTGGTTAATTTTTAATTTATATTTTTTTCATTTATAATTCTTTTGAATTATTTTGACCTATTTATTGGCCAGTTTTAATAACTGCTGTAAGAATTCCCTATTGTATTTGGTAGGGAATGGACAATGATCTACTGCCTAATATCTCGAGGGCTTAGTATTTTTCTCAGTGACTTTGTGGGTTCTTTGTACTGTGAGATTATTAACACTTTATTGATATTTGATTCAGCATTTGCTCCAGTTTGTGGTTTGTATGTTGATTTTGAAAATTCTTTTCCATGTTAAGAATTTGAACATTTTTATATAATAAAATATGTTGCAAAATTTTTATTAATGATTTACAATCCATCTTAAATCTGCCATTTTGTGGTATTGTTGTCTCCAGGTTTCTCCTTACTTCTAAAAAAAATTGCATTTATTGAGAGTCTGCTAGTGTTAGGGATTTTCCTGGGCATAAGCACCCCAAGTGACGAGTCCCAGACACTGCCTTAATCCAAATGTGATTCTGGAAAGAAAAATCATTTTACAATGATAGGCCTAATAATAATTAAGCTTGTGTTGCATGGGAGATGCATTGATCAGCTAAATGTAAATATAAGAACTTTCAAAACTAAAATGACGTTCCTTAATCCTTCTCTCTGCTTTATGACTCATGCTTTTCTGGGAAAGTAAAAATTTGGAGAATCATTTCTGTCTGTCCCACCTTCCCAGGGGCAGAACCATTTCTGTGGTGTTCTAAGGTGTGAGTGCATGGCGGTAGTATTCCTAAAAATTCATATTCGGTTTCGTCATGTACCCAACTCTGTCCCGTTATCTATCAACATTGTTTTAAATCATATATTTCTGTCAAGGTGTACAAGGATGATAAATAGGTGCCAAGTGGAGCACCCAAGTGTGATGAGCCCCCTCACAGTGGAATGGAGTGTGAAGCTTTATGACCTCATAAATTGAAGGTTATCTTCAGGCATTGTTTTATATATTTTACATGCATTAATCCTCATATAATCCCAAGAGGTAAATTAGTATAATTATCCTTCATTATAGGTGACAAAGTTGAGACACAGAAGAATCAAACTCTTAAGGCAGACCTTGGATTTGAACCAGGCAACCTGGCTCAGATATCAGTTTTAATTACTACACTCTGTACTTTCAAAGATTTGTAAACACTTTGACAATGCATGACAATTTCAAGCTATGAAGAAACAAACACAATTTTTCACAATATCTCTCAAATCTAATAGGTCCTCACTATCAAGATTAAGTTCCAGGCTGATGACACTGTAAGGCCACATGGCCAGCTGTGCTGGAGGCCTGGTCAAGGTCAGAGCCTGGGTTTGCAGAGAAGCAGACAAACAGCCAAACAAGGAGACTTACTCTGTCTTCATGACTCATTCCCTCTACCTTTTTTCTCCTAGTCCATCCTAAGGTGACTGTGTATCCTTCAAAGACCCAGCCCCTGCAGCACCATAACCTCCTGGTCTGTTCTGTGAGTGGTTTCTATCCAGGCAGCATTGAAGTCAGGTGGTTCCGGAATGGCCAGGAAGAGAAGACTGGGGTGGTGTCCACAGGCCTGATCCACAATGGAGACTGGACCTTCCAGACCCTGGTGATGCTGGAAACAGTTCCTCGGAGTGGAGAGGTTTACACCTGCCAAGTGGAGCACCCAAGCGTGACAAGCCCTCTCACAGTGGAATGGAGTGAGCAGCTTTCTGACTTCATAAATTTCTCACCCACCAAGAAGGGGACTGTGCTCATCCCTGAGTGTCAGGTTTCTCCTCTCCGACATCCTATTTTCATTTGCTCCATGTTCTCATCTCCATCAGCACAGGTCACTGGGGGTAGCCCTGTAGGTGTTTCTAGAAACACCTGTACCTCCTGGAGAAGCAGTCTCGCCTGCCAGGCAGGAGAGGCTGTCCCTCTTTTGAACCTCCCCATGATGTCACAGGTCAGGGTCACCCACCCTCCCCGGGCTCCAGGCACTGCCTCTGGGTCTGAGACTGAGTTTCTGGTGCTGTTGATCTGAGTTATTTGTTGTGATCTGGGAAGAGGAGAAGTGTAGGGGCCTTCCTGACATGAGGGGAGTCCAATCTCAGCTCTGCCTTTTATTAGCTCTGTCACTCTAGACAAACTACTTAGCCTCATTGAGTCTCAGGCTTTCTGTGGATCAGATGTTGAACTCTTGCCTTACATCAAGGCTGTAATATTTGAATGAGTTTGATGTCTGAACCTTGTAACTGTTCAGTGTGATTTGAAATCCTTTTTTTCTCCAGAAATGGCTAGTTATTTTAGTTCTTGTGGGTCAGACTTCTTCCCCATTTTCAAAGCTCTGAATCTTAGAGTCTCAATTAAAGAGGTTCAATTTGGAATAAACACTAAACCTGGCTTCCTCTCTCAGGAGCACGGTCTGAATCTGCACAGAGCAAGATGCTGAGTGGAGTCGGGGGCTTTGTGCTGGGCCTGCTCTTCCTTGGGGCCGGGCTGTTCATCTACTTCAGGAATCAGAAAGGTGAGGAGCCTTTGGTAGCTGGCTCTCTCCATAGGCTTTTCTGGAGGAGGAACTATGGCTTTGCTGAGGTTAGTTCTCAGTATATGAGTGGCCCTGAATAAAGCCTTTCTTTCCCCAAACGGCTCTAATGTCCTGCTAATCCAGAAATCATCAGTGCATGGTTACTATGTGAAAGCATAATAGCTTGTGGCCTGCAGAGACAAGAGGAAGGTTAACAAGTAGGGGTCCTTTGGTTTGAGATCTTGGAGCAGATTAAGGAAGAGCCACTAAGACTAATGGAATTACACTGGATCCTGTGACAGACACTTTACCCTTCATGGGTCACATGGTCTGTTTCTGCTCCTCTCTGCCCTGGCTGGTGTGGGTTGTAGTGACAGAGAACTCTCCGGTGGGAGATCTGGGGCTGGGACATTGTGTTGGAAGACAGATTTGCTTCCATAAATTTTAAGTGTATATATTTTCCTCTTTTTCCCAGGACACTCTGGACTTCAGCCAAGAGGTAATACCTTTTAATCCTCTTTTAGAAACAGATACGGTTTCCCTAGTGAGAGGTGAAGCCAGCTGGACTTCTGGGTCGGGTAGGGACTTGCAGAACTTTCCTGTCTTAGGAGAGGTTTCTAAATGCACCAATCAGTGCTCTGTAAAAACACACCAATTGGCACTCTGTGGCTAGATAGATGTTTGTAAAATGGACTAATCAGCACTCTGTAAAATGGAGCAATCCACACTCTGTAAAATGGACCAATCAATGCTCTTTAAAATGGACCAATCAGCAGGACATGGGCGGGGACAAATAAGGGAATACAAGCTGGCCACCCCAGCCAGCAGCAGCAACCCGCTCAGGTCGCCTTCCATGCTGTGGAAGCTTTGTTCTTTTGCTCTTCACAATAAATCTTGCTGTTGCTCACTCTTCGGGTCTGTGCCACCTTTAAGAGCTGTAACACTCACTGTGAAGATTCGCGGCTTCATTCTTGAAGTCAGCGAAACCACGAACCCACCGGAAGGAACAAACTCTGGACACACTAGAATTGATGGTAGAGGTGATAAGGCATGAGACAGAAATAATAGGAAAGACTTTGGATCCAAATTTCTGATCAGGCAATTTACACCAAAACTCCTCCTCTCCACTTAGAAAAGGCCTGTGCTCTGTGGGACTATTGGCTCTGGGAGACTCAGGAACTTGTTTTTCTTCTTCCTGCAGTGCTCTCATCTGAGTCCCTGAAAGAGAGGAAAAGAAACTGTTAGTAGAGTCAGGTTGAAAACAACACTCTCCTCTGTCTTTTGCAGGATTCCTGAGCTGAAGTGCAGATGACACATTCAAAGAAGAACTTTCTGCCCCAGCTTTGCAGGATGAAAAGCTTTCCCTCCTGGCTGTTATTCTTCCACAAGAGAGGGCTTTCTCAGGACCTGGTTGCTACTGGTTCAGCAACTGCAGAAAATGTCCTCCCTTGTGGCTTCCTCAGCTCCTGTTCTTGGCCTGAAGCCCCACAGCTTTGATGGCAGTGCCTCATCTTCAACTTTTGTGCTCCCCTTTGCCTAAACCCTAT
Source organism: Homo sapiens (assembly GCF_000001405.40). Classification (NCBI taxonomy): domain Eukaryota; kingdom Metazoa; phylum Chordata; class Mammalia; order Primates; family Hominidae; genus Homo; species Homo sapiens. Next base: position 3,998,121 of record NT_113891.3, on the reverse strand, counting down.
GGCCTCCTGTGCATCTGTACTCACCCTGTACCACAAACACATTACATTATTAAATGTTTCTCAAAGATGGAGTTAAATATCATCTGGTCCATTTGGCTCCAAAGACAAAAAATGAAAAGAAAAGAAAAAGGGAAGGAAGATTATTTCCCAATAGAATAATGATTTTCATGTATATGTCATGAGTATGTGAGGTAATGCATATGTAAAATAACTTGATTTAGACATTCCACACTATAGGCATATATCAAAACTTCATTCTGTACAATATAAATACACTATACAATTTTTACTTGTCAATCAAAAAAGTAATCCTAATGTTTAAAAAGGCAATGCATAAAAACTGAGAACAGACTATAACAACTGAAACAAACTTGGCAACCATGAGATGAGAAACCAGCTAGCAAGTCAATCAGAACTTTTTTTCACCCCGTCTACAATATTTTGTATTTATAACTGTAAATTAGTGTATAGTGTTTCACTCCAGAGACTTCAATAATATAGTGTTATCAAAGGACTTGTACAGATTTCAGAGAAAGACAAATTTAGAAGACGGAGGATTCTCTATTATGTGCTATCTGAGAGTCAGTATGAAATGTCAAATCCAAAAGTACATAATTTAGAGGTCTATTTCAAAGTAATCATTTGAGCATAGTTTCTCCACTGTCAGAGACGACTGTTATTTTATTTTCAATCAAATTAAAACTTGTTTTTATGCATATCTTATTTTTAGTTATATGTTACTTGTACATAAGTAGCAGCACAATACATACATATAAACCCTATGAGTATAAATCCTATAGAAATATATTAAGTTGATAATTATGTCTGTTCTGTTTGATCACAGAGTTGCAACAAAGAGGCCTCATTTCCTAAGTTGAGGAAATGATTTTCTCATTTTATATGAGACTCGTGGTGTGGAATTACAAGGTAGAACCAAAATGTGTGGAATGAGTATTTCAGTGAAGATGTGTTCTGCTGCTAATAACAGGAAATTACATCTAGTGGCTTTATTTTTCTTTAACCCATTATCTCACATAGCCGATAGATCCAAGGCTGGGCATCTCCAGGGATGCTCAACTCAGCAGGCCAGTGTCATCACCAGTGATCCTGGAACTTCGTAGCTCATCTCTCTATCACACACAGCACGTCAGCTTTCCTGAGATGGTAGGGTGACCCATGCAGCAGCTTTAGGTTTGTTATTCATTCACAACAACTCCCAAAGGCAGGAAAAGGATACTCCTTTCTCCTGTGTGCCTTTATAAGGAGCAACTAAACTGTTTCCAGAGTGTTCCCAGTACCCACTTTCTTATACATTGGAATGACCGTGGGATCACACAGGCTCAGACAAGCCAGGATTCAACCTTTGTAGAGTGGGCCTGATGCACATGGGAAGAAAAGGAGCAAAATCATATATTTTTAAAAACAAAGAAATGGTGGATGGAGTAGCAGAGATTGATTTCATCATAGGGAAATGATAGATTGTGGTACTATCAGGTTGTAAGTATTTGAGTTAACTTCCACACGAAGGCCTATAGATTCCTGATAGGCACCCTCAATTCAGGGCTTTGGGTCTTTATATACATACACACACACACACACACACACACGTATATATGTATATATAGGTGTATATACACACACACATATAGAGAGTATTAAATGTCAGCCATTAACTCAATTACAATCAAACAAAAAAGCAAACAGAATTGTTTTTAGAACTCAATTTATGCTGACATGTTATTTTATGAGGTAAATGTATTTTCCAGGGAAATTGAAAAAAAAGTAGAATAAGGAATGACTAGCTCTATAAAGCTCTAAAACATACTATACATTTACTTTTAAAAATGCATTTGTAACTGCTTTTTTTTAAATTAAATATGCTAGTAAGACAGAGTCTAGAATTAGAAACAGAGTTGAGATTTAGTTTCAGTTTTTGTAAGTTGTATTCCAAACTCATTTCTTTCACTAAATAAATCCTGGATAAATAAAACTTGAAACATAAAGAGAAAATATAAAATTCACAAGACAGATGTTATTTCTAATACTATCATCATCATTATAATTATGTTTGAAGACAAATAGACTTTCTAATTTCTTATGTGTTGCTGGTGGGAGTGTATGATTCTACAAATACCTGATAATTTGGCAATTTCTTAAAAAGTTTAACATATGTTTGCCCTATGACCCACCAATTTCACTCCTTGGAATCTACCTAAGAGACAGAAAAACATATGTCCTCACGAAGATATGTGTTCAAGTGTTCAGAACAGCCTTAGCCGTAGTAGGCCCAAACTGAAAACAATCCAAATTTCCATCAACTAGTAAACAGATAAACAAAATTCAACTACATCCAGGCAAGGCAATATCATTCAACAATAAAAGGGGACAAAACTAGACTTATCTGGCAGGGGAGACACCATGAACATGAGGATAGTTTTCCCAAGGCAAGTTTCAACCCTTGCACTCTAGATGATGAGATTACTTAATGGGTACAATGCATGTGATTTGGGTAATGGATACTGTAGAAACACTGACGTCACCACTATGCAATTTATGCATGTACCAAAACTACACTTTACCTTATGCATTTACACAAATGAAAAAAGACAAAAAGAAATGAAAACAAACAAAATGATGATACATACCACAAAACTTGTGAACTTCAATAATGTTAACTAAGTGAAGGAAATTGGATACAAAAGATTACATGTTGTGTGATTTCATTTACTTGAAATATCTAGAAAAGGTAAATTTATGTACACAAAAGGCAGATCATTGGGTGCCTAGGGTTTGGGGTCTCAGTGGGACTTAAATATAAATAGAGAAATTTGGGACATGACAGAAATGTTCTAAAACTGGATTGTTGTGATAATTGCTCAAATCTATTAATTTACTCAAATCATTAAATTTTACATATACAGTGAGTGAATTTTGTAGTATGAAAATTATGTTTCAGTAAATCTGTTAAAATAATTCTTTTTTAAAAAATAAGACTTCGTAAGCAAGACAAAATCCAGAAGACACAAATGAAAAAATATTTGAAGAAAATTACTGATTTCATTGCATGAAGAAAATAACAAAATTAAAAGAAGTATATGACGCTCAGGAAAAATTTTGATCACGTAAGGCAGACAATGGGCTAACTTTCTTATGAAAAATTGTTAACTATCAATAAATAAATTCATGGAAATGCCATAGACAATTGGGCAAAGGATATAGACTCACTATAGAAGAGAATTTCCTAATAGTCGATAAATATAAATATTTGCTCAAACTCACCAATGAACAGAAAAATCCAAATTCGAACAGCAATGTAATAAACTAGTTCTCCTACTCCAAAATTAACAAGTACAATAGTTTGTTTTAAACTCAAGGATTTAGAAGATTCTAAGGGAATAGACTCTCTCATATTATTAGGATTTTGAGTTATGGCAGTGTAGTAGTATCTATTAAAACTCAAAATACAATTGTCACACGCTTGATGAAAGCAACAAAAATCCCATTCTAAACATCCATCTTAAAGAACAATCGTACATGAGCCCAAGGAGACATAAAATTGGTCGTTTGTTGAGCCACAGTTTGGAATAACAAAAACATTTCCAGATTCAAAAAGAAAAACTGATTAATTTGTCTTGATTATAAAAATTTTGTACATCCTAAAAACTATGCAGCATGTGAAGTGACAGCACACTGCCACTGCAGGATGACATTTGGTGCTGTGTGGGGCACTGTGAGCATATATTGGTGTAACCCTGTGAGTAGTTGGGATAATACAGTATTTCCACTCTGGATTGTTACAGTCTCGGTAAATTTTTCCTCATATGTCCATGATGACATATAAAAAATGTAACAGGGGAGAAAAGAAACACTCTCTACATTTAGATAGAAAAAAGGTAAACTGTGGTATAACCACAGAAAGCAATAATATTCAGGGCTTTAAGTAAATTATGTAGGACTATCAACATGGATTGGAAAAAAATCATAAACCATAATGCCAGTTAGGAGATGGAAAATTATGAGAATTGTCACTGTTACCATAAGAGCAAAAAGACATATAGACTAAACTAAATGGATAAACTGGAAAATAATCTTATTTTTAAAATTTTAACCAGCTGTGGATCAAAAAGTATAAAAATTCCAAATTCCAGAGATGAACAAATTCCACATATGCGAGCAGGGTCAAGTGTCCACTCTTATTCTTTGGTCTATCTACTGAATCTTAACATGGGTGGAAGATTGAGCCTGGCTGAGAAAGGGAGATTGTGAGGGAGTAAAGACAAACCAGCTGAGTTGTAAATAACGCTGTGGGCTTGTGTGATGCATTACAATCTATAGAGGGCCCCTGAATAATACATATCTACTTTGCCCTGTCAGCTGATTCTCCTTCCAGAACTTTTTCTGACTTCATACTGTTGCTGTGGGAACTAAGGAGGTAGATACAAGACAACGAACATCTCTGTAGCTTTGTGCAAACAAAGATCAGGAAGGAAATCAAGATAGGAACAATGCTTTCAACCATCTTGACTTATTTGGCATTTATAATTGACATATAAATTGACAACATCTCATAACTACAGAATATTTATTTTTTTACATTGCACAAAGATTATCCATGAAATGGAACACATACTATGACTATAAAACTAGTCTTAATTACTTTCATAAGAATAAAATCACCCAGAGTATATTCTCTGAACACAATCTTATCAAATTACAAATTAGTAAGATTGAGAAAACTGCCTAAATTTTTGGAAGTAAAATAATACATTTCTAAATAATCTGTGGCTTGTCAAAGAGGATATCAGAAGGAAATTAGAAAATAATTTTAAATAAAATAATACTACAATGAATTTTTAAAATTTTCGAGATGCAACCAAGGCAGTCCTTAGAGAAAAATATTTAGTTTTAAATGCCTGTATTATAAAAAGATAAATATGTAAAAATCAAAGGTGTAAACTTTTAACTTAATAATAAAAAGAAACAAATTTAAGTTGAAAAAAGTAGAAGAAAAAAGCAAAGGGGTGAGGAAATCGATAACATTATTTTCTTGGTTTTGTTTCCTATTTGTTTACTATAGAGCATAATTGTGTTAGTCCCTTCTTACATTGCCAGAAATAAACACCTGAGGTTGGGTAATTCATGAAGAAAAGAAGTTTAACTGACTCAGGGTTCTGCAGGCTGTACAGGAGGTGTGGTGCTGGCAATTGCTTCTGGTGAGGGCCTCAGGAAGCTAACAATTATGGGGGAAGGAAAGGGGGGCCCAGGTATCACATGGTGAGAGCAGAAGCACAGAGAAAGTGGGGAAGAGTCGCACTTCTTTAAACAACCAGATCTCATGTGAACTGAGTGAGAACTCACTCATTACAGCTAGGATGGCACCAAGTCATTGATGAAGGATCTGCCCCACCCCCCGACCAAAATACCTCTCACCAGGCCTCACCTCCAACGATGGAGGTTACATTTTAACATGAGATCTGGAGGGGACAAACATCCAAACTATATCAATAAAATAATTGGTTTAATGTATACTGACTTTGTAATCAGCAACATTACTTAAATTTACTTATTAAATCTATGAGCTTGTCTATTGTTTTTATTTCCTAAGTACCTGATTATGTCAAGAGTAAATAATGACCATCTTACCTGGATGCAATTATCTCTTTGATATATTTTTCTTGCTGTTATCATTCTCTAACTCGTCTAGTACTCCAGATATGAAGGAGACAGTTTTAAACATTTCACTGCTGAGACTAATGTGTGCAATTGGGTAGCTATCATTTCTCAGATTGAGAAATATTTTTTTAAAACAAGTTTGAAAACAGATTTTTTAAAAATTAAGGCCAAGTGCTGAATTCTGTCAAATCATATTTCATGACTATCAAGGTGGTTGCATGTGTATTCTCCTTCCTTCAGTTAACGTAGTGAATCACACTAATTGATTCTCAAATGCTTACATAACCTTGCATTTCAGGAATAAACTCCACTTGGTCGTGATATAGTAGCCATCTTTTATATCACTGAATTCACTTGGCTAACATTTTCTTAAGAACTTGGCTCATAAGAGTTATTGGTCTCTTAATTCCTATTCGTTGTAGAGTTCCCTTCAGGTCTTGAAGTAAAGTTTACACAGATCTCATCAAACGTAACTGCAAGTGCTTTTCCTTTTTTCAAATATGTTTGAAGTTTGTATAAAGTTAGTGTTGTTTGTTCCTTAAATATTTTTAAATAGTTACTGAAGCTAGATGAACCTGGGGTTTTGTCTTGGGAAAGCATTATAGAATGGACTTACTTTCTCTATGACATGTGGAACTCTTCCTGTTTTATGTTATTTGTCAGCTTCAGTACATTGTACATTTTGAATAATTTATTTATTACATGCACATTTATTTTTGTAAAGTTGTTCATAATATTTAGTATTATTTCATGCTGATAAATCTGTAAGACTATAACAAAAGCTATGAAATTTGTGTAACTGGAGTCTTAGAGGGAGATGACAAATGGGTGATGCACAAAGAGTGTTTGAAGAAAGACTGACTATTTTCCAAATTCGGACAAAGACTTAAATGTAAAAATTCAAGAATCTGTGCAAACCCAAACGAAAATAAATCCAAAGAAATTTATGCCAAAAAAAATCTCGAAAGCAACAAGAGAGAAATGACATCTCATGCACAGGAGAAAATAAATTAAATGACAGTGGATTGTTCAATAGAAATCATGCAGACCAGACAAAAGTGGCACAAGATATTTTAATGGCTGAAAAGAATGTTAACCTAGAATGTATATCCAGTAAAAACATTATTATAAAATGTTCCATCATGACATTCTTTTTTTTTCTTTTTCTTTTTTTTCTTTTTTTGTTTGTTTTTTAGATGGAGTCTTGCTGTGTCACCCAGGCTGGAGGGCAGTGGTGCGACCATGGCTCACTGCAGCCTCTGCTTCCCAGGCTCCTGTAATCCTCACACATCAGCCTCCTGAATAGCTGGAATTACAGACACGCACCACCACGCCTGGCTAATTTTTTGTATTTCTGGCAGAGACAGGGTTTTGCCATGTTGCCCAGGGTAGTCTCGAATCCCTGAGCTCATGAGATCTGCCTGCCTTGGCCTTCCAAAGTGCTGGGATTACAGGTGTGAGCCACCATGCCTGGCCATGACACACTTAGAGGAAGGAAAATCAAGAGAATTTCATGCTAGCAGACTTATGTTAAAACAAGGGCTAAAGGAAGTGTTTGAACTGGAATAGAAATGATAATGGAAGGAATCCTGGATAATTGGGAAAAAAGTAAACAATAAGTGAGTAAAAATATGGTTAGATACAACAGACTTCTTCAGTTTTGTAAATTAATTTGATGGTTGAGGCAAAAACTGCAACATTGACAGATGTGGTTTTGATGCAAGTAGAGAAAATTAAAAATATATATTATACATGCGGAAGTGGAAAGGGATATAAAGGAGGCAAAGTTTCTACACTTTAGTCAAATTGGTAAAATGTCAGCACCAGTAGACTATGATAAGTTATGTTAATAGATAGATAAATCACAAAAACTATACAATGAGATAAACCAAAAAATGATTGATTTAAAAATGGAATTCTAAAAATTGCTTAAGGAACACATTGGAACATAGGAAAAGAAACCAGAGAAGAAAAAACCAAAGGAAACAAAAAAGAAAACAAAAAGCAGATGGCAGTCATAAGAGCTCACATATTAATAATTGCATTACATGTAAAGTGTGTAAAAAGACAAATGTCAGAGTGAAAAACAATGACCCATCGACATGCTTCCTATAAGAAACTTACTGCAAATATTACCTGCCCATCTTCCCTTGGCTTCCCTGTGACTGAGGTGGCAAAAGGCTGGTGTGTCAACACTTCCCTGAGCGTGCACACACCCAGCCAGTCTGTGACAGCACTGGGGCTTTGCCCCAACTCCACTCTGAGATCAGAGTGGGCACCCGGGACCCGGGTGAGGCCAAGGGAGAGGCCAGAAAGTGGGAGCAGACACCCCCAAGCCTGCATGGACAGGGGGGCCTTCTCAGCCTTGAGAGCGTAGAGAGGCCTGGCTCCTGCTGCCTGCAGGGAGGGCCGGGAGGGCCGGGAGGGCGGGGCTTCCAACCCATTCCGTGGAGCCTGCAGGTAGCCCCTGTCACACCTTCTGGCAGCCTGAGGTGCGCGGCTCCCCCCGCTGGGCCCAGGCTGGCATATGGGGCAAGGGTGATGTCTCTGCAAATTATTCCCGTAGCACTCAGGGTGCCCCGGGCTCTCTCTCGCCGGGATATGGCGGGGGAGGCACCTTGGGGAACAGATCCCAGCCGGGGCCTGGCTGTCAGGAGCATCAGGCTTGGTCGCCACCCGCGGAGATAAAACCCTGGGAGGCCTCAGGTAGAGCCTCTTCCTGAGGCGCAGAAACTGGGCGCCCTCGGCAGGGTGGGACAGTGGCCTTGCCGCTGGCCTGGTCCTCAAAGTGAGGCCACTCCCACATCCCACCCCAGGCCACTGAAGGGTGGCCCCAGCTCCATGCCCTCCCCACAACTGCAGGGTGAGAGCAGCAACGCAGGAGTGGTGAAGGCTCTGGGCCTGGGGGCGGTCCCGCCAGCTGCTCAAGGGTCGGGGCAGTGCAGTCAGATGCCTCAGTGACGCGAGGCACAGGGGACATGGGGTACAAGAGTCCCACCACGGCCACTGCTCCGGCAGTGGATGCTGCCGCCACCGCTTGCAACTTCCCGCAGCAGCCGGCCACTCTGGACAGCTCACCACTGCCAGCATCACCATTTATCTTAAAATACTAATGTGAACCTCAGCTGGTTTTCCTAGATTACTATCATCACAATTAGTTTCTTTTTTTCATAATTTGTTTCTTTTTTGTGTGTTTCTTTTTCTTTTCTCCTTCTTTCTGAAGGAGTATGATCTAGTGGCTGAGCTTGAGGGGTATATAATTTGGTTCTATCTACAGTGTACCATTTACTAGTGTATCTTTGCAAAAGTTGTGTTATCTCCATCGTTGTAGTCTCTCCACCTGTAAGCATGAAAAGGGTGTTTATTTTACTGAGCTGATGTGAGAATTAAATAAAAATATGAAGTATAGAAAGCTTTTAATACAATTCTGAGTACAAAGTAAAATGCTTATTTTTATTGCAGCATGGTGAGAATCCTGCTTCTGGAAACACTAAGGCACATAAGGAAGGAGTGCCCATCAGAACTGTGGTACAGTGTGAATTAATGCAGAGTTTTACATGTACAGTTATACTGTGAAGTCCATTCTGAATCTTAGATGTCACATTTATATTAATATAAAGCATAATAATTATCTAAATGTAGAATTATATGTCTAAAATTACATGATTACATCAGCTGATGTAATTCATAGTTTTTCCCTAGGGTTCTCTTTCCTGAACATTCTGTAACATATTACTTAGCACAGTCTTCTTATATCTTCCCTTATGATAAATCAAAAGAAGCATAATAGTAAAGGGCCATAACCTCAATCAAATGAGGAAATCCTAATGGGAACCGGGAATGAGGGATTGAACACTTTTCACGTAAAATATTAATTATTTTGAAACAGAGTTGTTCTGTCAACAGCTGACTTTGAGTCCTTGACCGATCTCCCAGACCCCTGAATACTTCGATTGGACAGTTGACCTTATCACATTGTTAGGGCAAGTGCTATACAAAGGCACCTTCAGACCCTCCATTGCACATAGGTGGTCCCTGCAAGCCCCTTCCTGTGTGTGCTCTGGAGGTGCCACTAAACTTGGGGGCAGCATCAGGAGACACACTTTATATAAAACCTTTTACTCAGATTAAATTATTAACAAACTTTCCATTTCCTTTAACTTATTAAGGACATCCCTACCTGGAAATAGGTACAGATTACACTCTCCAGTCAACAGCTGTCATTCTGTCATATCATCAGATACCCAGGGGCTGTTGCTACTTGAGGCGTCCACAGAATCACAGCATTTTCCAGTATTGAAAGACCTGAAAGATCATGGTGCCTTCATATCAACTGTGAGACATGAAGTAATTTTCCCAAATCTACGACATTAAGATATGGTGCAATAAGGACCAGATTAAAGGTGTCCTGATTTTCAACCATGTTCCCTCCATCTCATTTACTCCTAAACACAGTCACTGCTGCAAATACTTCTGTTGTCAAGTGGGAAATGAATGTTCTTACAAGACTCAAAGTTGTGAACACATCACTGACCAGCTCAGAGGTGGCTCACAATAAGGACCCAATTAAAGTGTTTCCCATGCAACTGGGTCGAACCTTCCAAGTACTAAATTAAAACAATCTTTTAAAGAAGGAAATTATTTCAGAAGAGGACCTTCATACTGCATCTCTGAGCAGCAACTGATGATGATACTGAACTCAGATGCTGATTGGTTCTCCAACGCGGGATTACCCAATCCAGGAGCAAAGAAATTAGTAACTTCCTCCCTATGTTTGGGATGTGAGTGGTGGGGGTCATAGTTCTCCATGAATGTGAGACTTGCCTGCTACCCTGGCACCTGGTCCTGTGCTGTTCTCCAGCATGGTGTGCCTCAGGCTGCCTGGCTGGAGGCTCTTGCATGGCACCTCTGACAGTGACACTGATGGTGCTGAGCTCCCCACTGGCTTTGGCTGTGGGCACCCGACCTAAGTGCACACTGTGGGTGCTGAGCTACTATAAAGTGGGTAAAGTAGGGAGCTAAATTTGTCACTATGCCCAGGCCATGTCCCTTAAGAATATGTGACGTTTTCAACAGGGATTGCCCATCTTTATCATATGGATCCCAAATTATTTCCTCCACAAAAGGAGCTTCACTACTTGCCCTCTCCATATAAGGGGCCTGTGTACAGGCCATTTCTTCTCAAATCTCCACCAATAAAACCTTTGCATCACATGTCCTCAGGGTCTTTAGAAGATTTAGAAATAAGGATGCTAAAATAAATTCCCCATACAGCACTTCCCTTTATTATGTTGACTTATGTCAGACAAAAGGAGGTTTTTACTGAAAATTTTGTGGGAGTCAAGGGAATTCAAAGGGTCTCTCCTAGATGATCCAGTGTTATGTCCTCCACAGAACCTCTGGTATTGGCCCCTCTTCCTCATATGTGAGGATGTATTCAGTGGCCTCCCCATTATCTCCTTTCTTTTCTTTCTGAAGCACAATCTTTATAAAGCCTGTATCCCTGTAGCGTATGTAGGTTCTCTGACAAAAGTTATACTTACTGCTCTTTCTTTCTTATGGGGAAAAATCCCTGGAACTGAAGCTGAGATCTTTAGTACTTGGCGTCACCCTACAGGCAAATAATACCTATGGGGTGTTCTTTGGTGCCTAAAGAACTTAAGGCATCCTCTGAAAACCCGGCCCAGGTTAGTGTTTATTATGAATCTCTTTTAACCTTTGTATATTACCTTCGCCTACATGCTCTAACTAGACTCCACAAGAAGAGATTCAGTCAATGTAGGAAAAATTATATGAAATTCTATTTTTGTTAAGTCAAAAATAGTCAAATATCAGAAATTTGCTAAGATTCAAACGATATACTCTGAGTGGAGTTACCGAGACAATGTGGACATTGTTCACATCTCACAGGGCTGAAAGTCAATGAGCAAGTCCTGGGAACTCATTCTCTTACTCGGGTCTTGTCCTAAATTTCATAGGTTCACCCATCATGCTCTCGGCTTTTCTTATTTAGCCATTTCTGCTTACCTCTTCCTCCAGTTTCTCTCTGTTTTTCCCCAGCTATGTTGTCATTATTTCCTGAAATCCTTAAAGCTTGCACAGACCCAGAGAACTATGAGGTTTATCACAAGAGATAATTTCTTCTTTTTTTGAGACAGAGCCTGGCTCTGTCACCCAGGCTGTAGTGCAGTAGTGTGATAGAGGCTCACTGCAACCTCTGCCACCAAAGCTCAAGTGATCCTCCCTCCTCAGCCTCCAGAGTAGCTGGGACTACAGGCAGGCAACCACACCCAGCTAATTATTGTAATTTTGGCAGAGACTGTGTTTTGCCATATTGCCAAGGCTGGTCTTAAACTCCTGGGCTCAGGTGATCCTCCTACCTCCCAACATGCCAGGATTACAGATGTGAACCACCGTGCCCTGCTGAAAATACATGAATCTTAACAACAACAACAAAAAATTCTTTTTTCTTAAAATTACTGTTTCCTTGGCCGGTTGCAGTGACTCATGCCTGTAATCCCAGCACTTTGGGAGGCGGAGGTGGGCGGAACACGAAGCCAGGAGATCGAGATCATCCTGGCCAACATGGTGAAACCCGTCTTTACTAAAAATAAAAAAAATTAGCTGAGCGTGGTGGCACTTGCCTGTAATCCCAGCTACTCGGGAGGCTGAGGCAGGAGAGTCGCTTGAACCTGGGAGGCAGAGGTTGCAGTGAGCCCAGATCACACCACTGCACTCCAGCCTGGCAACAGAGCTAGACTCTGTCCCAAATATAAAAAAAAAGAAAAAAATTACTGTTTCCTTATCTGTGAATTCTTCCAACTAGGAGGAGGAGAAAGAAGAAGTTTGCCTGTATTTCTCACAGGGAAGAGAAGGGGTCTAGTGTGACATCAAAATGAAAAAGTGCTGGAGCTTGAGCCCCTTCTTGCTTTTCAGGATCCACACAGTGATGAGTTCCGAGAATGCTGGTTTATTCATGTAAACCACAGTTATTTTTATCAGCAGCTACTGTGTACTGGCCTCCCTTCTAGGTTCAAATCATTCTATTTGAGTAAGATAGAGTGGGTTGGTCCCTACTCATGGAAGTTACACAATCATAGAGGAGATAGACAATAACCCAATAATCATTTAACAAAGAAGAAAATTTCAGAGAGTCATCATGCACTGAAGAAAAGACATCAGGTTTGTGGAAAGAGAGAATTGGATTCACCCAATTTTGGTTCATATGCTTAGGCAGCTCTACCTGAGAAAGTGACATTCAGCTGAGACAACAAAATAAGTAAACAGCCATGTGAAGATGTAAGGGTCAAATGTTCCAGAGAGACACAAATTGGGGGAAAACCCTGGTGTGGGAATTTATATGCAGGGAGAGAAAGAAGGCTAGAGGGACTGACGTAAAGGAAGCAAGGAAATGGAGAGGCAGATGATGAGGTAGGATGCAGAGAGGAGGTCAGGAGCCTCATCATATTAGGCCCTGATGTTCACAGTAAGAAATTTTAATTTTATTTAAACAGATATGGGAAGCTATTGGATGGTTACAAGGAGAGTCAATTTATATTCAATTTTTAAAACTAATTCTAGCTACTTTGTGGGGATTGGATTGCTGGGGTTCACAAGTAAAAAGGAAGACTTTTTAGGAGCACAGCAGGGAATCCTCAGGGAAAACAGCTCATGGCTTCCTGGTGTGCATTAGTGATAAAGACAGTGAAAAACATGAAGTGGACAGACTCGGCATGTATTTTGCTCAGGTTGTTAATGGATTACTGTAAAGGGGATAGAACAATCAAGCTTATTCCTAAGGATTTTGTCTTGACAAATAAGTGGATGGTGGTGTTGTTTATTGAGATAGGGAAAACTGTGGGAGGAAATTATTTGAAGTGGGTGGTTGGAAATGATTTATTGACGTTTATGTGGAACAATCAGAAGGTCAATGGAATTTAAGAGACTCACGGTGAGTCCAGGGCTGGAAGTATTTATGTTGATGGCATCAATACGTGTACTCTGTTAAATTCCAGGGAGTGGAAGAGGATACATAGGGTAATAGCTTGTGTGTAGAAAAAAGAAGAAGGCACAGGCCAGCAAAGGGGACTGAGAGGGAGCCCCAGGGATGTAGGAGAAAAACCAAGAGAACATAATGCTTGTAAGTCAAGGAAAACAGATTTTTTTCAAGAAGCGGGGAGAAGCCAATGAGTATCATTAAGTGGGTGAAGTGAGAATGTGAGAGAGAAGCAAGTGCTGGGTTTGCTGGAGTTGATATCTGCAGTCAATGGAGCATCCAGGATGGAAAATGGAATGGACCATTTGAAGAGCAAGTAGAAGTGAGGATGAGGTTAAGGTTGACTGTTTTGAGTAGAGAGCTTCAGGGAAGGACTGCACTCTGGATTTAGGGAGACAGCTGAATCTAAAGGAAAAGGCTAAAGAGGCCGAAGAGAAGCAGGAGGACCTGTGAACCAGAGATGCTCAGTCATTAATGGCAAGGAAATACGAGAGGGTCCCTGTGTGCAGTGGTGACTGCTCATGCAAAACATCACACAGCCAATATTTCACACAACCCGTATTTATTAGTGACTTAGAATATACCAGTTATTACTCTAAGTCATGAGAATGGAGTGATGAATGAAATAAATCTAGTCTCCATCAGTACATGCCATATAACATTCTGCAGTAACTGTGTACCAGGTCTATGAATTTCAGTATTCAGTTTCAACAATGATCCTATTGTATCTGTAGTGTTTAAAAACATATACATCTCAGGAGTCTAAAATTGAGAAGATGTAAATAAAACCCAGTATCCCAAATGTAGTGCTAGAAATCAGATTGCAGTTTAAATCTGAGCATGTAGAAAGTCCCTTTCTCCTATGTCAGCAGATCCCTTTTGTGTGAGGTTTAGGTATACTGCATTATTAGACATAAGCTAGTGTTTCTGCCCTATGTTTTCAGAATGACAATTTTTTATGAAACTAATAAAAGAACAGAAGACAATTGCAAAATCATGATGAAGATACAAATTGCTTTAGAATCAAGGAATAGGAAAAATAATGTGAGCTGCAGTTAAAGGGATCATAAAAATTAAAATGGAAATATATTTGACTGTTTATTATGTGGTCAGTGCTACGAAAAATCATTATTTAATTTTATACTTAAAAATAATCCTGGCCGGGCGCGGTGGCTCAAGCCTGTAATCCCAGCACTTTGGGAGGCCGAGGAGGGTGGATCACGAGGTCAGGAGATTGAGACCATCCTGGCTAACATGGTGAAACCCCGTCTCTTCTAAAAATACAGAAAAATTAGCCGGGCTTGGTCGTGGGTGCCTGTAGTCCCAGCTACTTGGGAGGCTGAGGCAGGAGAATGGGGTGAACCCAGGAGGCGGAGTTTGCAGTGAGCCGAGATCACGCCACTGCACTCCAGCCTGGGCGACAGAGCGAGACTCCGTCTCAAAAACAAACAAACAAACAAAAATCCTGTGAGGATTACGCTATTATTAAATGCATTTGATAGATTACAAAAAGGCTTATGGTTGGTAAAAATTGACCCAAGTAGAATAGATCATGTTTCCATTCAGATTTTCTGATTCTAGAGATTGAAAGTCTGGCCATCATTAGTGAGTAGTGACCAGACTGTGTCTGAATTATTGACGGAATTTCTGATATTCAAATGTACCAGGTTGTTTCTTGAAGTGGGAGCAGAGATGCAAGGGCTGCTAGTTCCAATGTATAGGCAAAACTTTCATTCATTTTGCATTTATCATTTTAAAAGTTCTATATGTCTCTCCTGGGCATATGTTGAAGAACACAAGGAAGTATTAAATCACTCCTTGTTCTGAAGTTTGACTAGCAAGTTGGCCTGGGGTTACCAAATAAAATACAAGTCCCTAGTTAAATCTGAATTTCAGATACACACCATAATTTATTGGAAATCCAAATTTAAGTGGGCATCCTCTGGTTTTATTTGTCAAACCTTTCAACCCTAACTGGGACACATGAGCATGGATTACAGGGCGAGCCATGCAAGTCACAGTGACAGTGACTTCACACATTTTTATTTTTTAACTTTCTCTCTGTAAAGAAAGTGCTTAGATAATTTAAGAATAAAAAGACAGACATTTTTGATCCAGGGCATCTTTTCTAAAGGGCAAAGGAAGCTTTATGAAGGTCATACTCAAAGTCTGGGGACCTGCTCATTTTTTGTAAACTGTCCGTATGAGAATGTCATTTTTTTGGTTTCTCCCTTTCTGAGGGGACTTAACTACAAAACCGAGAGTTCTACCTCTGGCCAAGGCTGGAAATTTGATGCCTGCTAGTACTGTTGGGAGTGGGAGACTGAGAGAAATGAGTTTGTTGGGGCATTTAATGGGAATAAAATAGCTGTGGTTGTGATGCATTACCACAGATAATTAGTGTACCAGTGGCACAGAAATTAAGAAAGAAGATGCTATGAAAGATAAATGATATGATTTGGTGACTGATTGGTAAGGCAAGGAAATCAGTAAATCTTGGTTCTCCACAAGTTCATTTTCTGGAAACATAGCATGTATTGAGACCAGAATTCTACAATATTTTCATTTTATGTAGGACCAAGATTTTCAACAGATATTTTTCAAAATAATTCTCAGCTGCTCCATAACTAATAGTGGCTTGTTCAACACAGATTTTTTTCAGATGGTTCACACCCATGGTTTTTACCCAGGGATAGTTCGCCAACCCTCCCTTCCCTCCCATCACCCTTGGGGAATGTGTGGCAATGTTTGGAGGAATTTTTGGTTGTCACAACAGGGATTTCTTCTGATGTTTAATGAGCAGATGCCAGGGATACTTTTAGAGAACCTGCAATGTACACAACAGCCTCCATCACCAACAAATTATTATCTGGTCCAAAATGTCAATAGTGCAGGCTGAGAGCACTGGTTCACACTGTGCTCTTTCTGAAAAGTCTAGACTCACATCTGTTTTTTTTTTTCTGTGACGGAGTCTCACTCTGTCACCCAGGCTAGAATGCAGTGGCGGGATCTTGGCTCACTGCAAGCTCCACCTCCCGGGTTCATGCCATTCTCCTGCCTCAGCCTCCCGAGTAGCTGGGACTACAGGTGCCCGCCACCACGCCTGCCTAATTTTTTGTATTTTTAGTAGAGACAGGGTTGCACCATGTTAGCCAGGATGGTCTCGATCTTCTGACCTCGTGATCCGCCCACCTCAGCCTCCCAAAGTGCTGGGATTACAGGTATGAGCCACCGCACCCGGCCTGACTCATATCTTTTATACACTCACCACCCAATCATTTCTTTATGGTTAATTTTTGCTTGTTTCATTAGAAAAAACTACAGAGTTGCATAAATTCAACCACTTTCTTGTTGAATCCATTTGGTGTAGAGAACCGGAGGCCGGAGAATCGTGACCAACTCAGCATTCCACTGATGCTATATGATCAAACAGCAAACTGTTTATCAGGAATACAGAATAGGGGCAAACTCTCTTCTTTGCTGGCCGCCAGAAGTTTTGCTGAGGGCAATCACTCCCTGGCACTGGGCTCCTTGAGTTTATCTACTGGGACATCTAGAGCCTATTGTTCGAGGAATGCAGTCTTGCAAGGCTGCTCTGGAGCAAGCAGCAGACCAACAACCACCCCCTTCTCACTATCTCTTTTCACTTTGTTGAGCTTCTTTCAACAAAGAAAGCTCAAAGTTCAGGGCCCTTGTTCACTAAGAGCAAGGTGCCCCCGACCCCTTCTTCCAAATGAACTCTCTTGTCTTTATTCCCCCCGTTCGTCCTCCTTTGTTCAGTCCAACAGGGTCCATGGCATAGTGACATTCAAACAGCGACAGGGCAACGCCATAGTGGTTTCACAACACAGGGACACGAGGATGTGAACAAAGAAGGTCTGCTGGAGCAGAGGAACTGAAATTGACAAGACGTATGGGGACCCCGGGATGAGTCTGCTGGCAGCAGATATAAGGTCAGTGCCCTAAAGAGGTACTGGGAGCAATATAAGGTCAGTGTTCTAAAGAAGTATTGGGAACAGAAAGTTTTCTGAATCAGGGTAACATGGGGCAGAATTTGTGTATTGAAGAAAAACATTATGTGCAGTTGCTTAAAGTTTTGTTGAAACAATCTGGTGCTCAGGTTAGATCTCAGACATTAACAAAAATGCTGCAGGAGGTTATTACGCATAACCCATAGTTCCCACAGACAGGCACTCTTGATATGGAAAATTGGGACAGAGCAGAAGGATTAAAATGGGCTCATCAAAAAGGTCTCAAAGTTGATCCTTCTCTTTTCTCCACTTGGAGTTTAGTCCGTACTGTCCTTCTGCCATTATCTCCTTCTTATTCTGCTGGACAGTAGGAGTGATGTTCTGAGTCTAAAAATCTGAAAGAATCTGTTGTACCACTCACAGCTCCAATTTAAAATAAAAAACAGGAGAGGGAGGAAAAAAATTGGCCTATACTGCCTCCTCCAATAGCAGAAACATCTGTACCGCCTCCTTCGGTAGCAGAAATAGAGACCCCAATACAGAGCATTTTACACTCTGCTGCCATGGCTAAAGAGCCCATAGGACCTTGCACTTTTCCTATTTCTGTAAGGCCTGATCCAAATAATCCATAGCAGCTCACTCATGAACACACTCCACTAGAGTTTAAGTTGTTGAAGGAATTAAAATGAGTGTGGTAAACAATGGTATACAGAGCCCATTCACTTTAGGACTGCTAGAACCTGTATTTGGTGCTGTGCGCCTTCTACCCTTTGATGGAAAGCATTCAGCTCATGCTTGTTTGTCTCCTTGTGCATACCTGACATTGAATTTAAATTGGCAAGAAATGTGTGCAGACAATGCTAGACAGAATCGTGTAGCTGGACACAGAGACATTACAGAGGACATGCTGTTAGGTAATGGCCCTATTCAGACCTGGAACATCAAATGGCACTCCCAAATGCCAGCAGTGTGCATAGGCTGCTAAATGCGACAGGGCCACAATTCCAGAAGAGGGAGTCCCAGTGCAATCCTTTTTACATATCATGCAAGTGTTGCAGGAACCTTGTGCACAATTTCTTGCATGATGACAAGATGCAATGAAGCATCAGATTCCTCATACCGATGCTGCAGAAATGCTAACCTTAACTCTAGCTTTTGAGAATGTAAACGCAGATTGTAAACGTGCATTGGCACCTGTGAGGTGTATAAAAAACTTGGGAAATTTTCTCAGAGCCTGTCAGGTTGTGGGAACTGAGCTTCATTGCTCTACAATATTAGCGCAGGCAATGGCTAATTTAGCAGTTGACAAATGTAAAAGGAGCCAAGGGTCAAACCCTAAAATGGGAAAATGTTATAATTGTGGAAAAACTGGACATTTTAAAAAGGAATGCCGCCAGATCTCAGGACAGAAAGGAACTTACAATGCAGTGCCCCACCTAGCAGAAAAAACACCAGGACTTTGTCCTCGCTGTAACCAAGGAAGTCACTGGGGTAATCAGCCATTCAAAATTTCATGAAAACAGCACCCACCTGTCGGGAAACTAGAAGGGGGCCTGTACGCGTGCCCCTCAAACAACGAGGGCATTTCCAGTTCAGACCACAGGCCCACTTCAGGGATGGGTCCCAGGAGAAAGATTGATTCCTGGTATTCCTCACCTCAGGAACACCAGGAAGTGCAGGATTAGATCTCCCCACCAGAGAAAGAACTACATTAGTTGGAGGAGACAAACCTACCAAAGTTCCCACTGGCATTTGGGGGCCTTTACCAACAGGATACATAGGACTAATTTTAGGTAAAAGCCCCCTTAACTTGCAAGGCATGACTGTAGTCCCTGGAGTAGTTGACTCTGATTATGAAGGAGAAATTCAAGTAGTTTTAATGTCAAAATGTCTTTGGGTTTTTGAACTGGGAGAATATATTGCTCAGTTGTTGCTTATTCCCCGCAAATTACATCCTTCTCCACAAAAGGAGAAATGAGGAAATAAAGGGTTTGGAAGCACAACTACATGGGAAATCTATCTATCCCAGCCCATAGCCTCTAATAGATCCACCTGTGTAGTACAAATTAAAAGAAAGAAATTTTATGGGCTTATGGATACAGGAGCTGATGTGGCAGTAATATCCAGTAAGGACTGGCCTCCAGTATGGTCTCTCAAACTAACCTCCACATCCCTAGTGGGAGTAGGAGTGGCTAAAAGTGTTCAACAGAGTGCTGAGATTTTATCTTGTCTTGGTCCGGATGGACAGTCATGTACTTTTTAGCCTTATGTTGCAAATATACCAATCAATTTATGGGATCGAGACTTACTTACAGCATTGAATATGAGACTTACAAATGAAAACTTTGATAACCCAGGATTTAAAACATTGAAAGACATGGGATATCAGAGTGGGAAAGGTTTAGGGAAATTCCTACGAGGAAAACCTAACCCAATATCAATAACTGGAAAAACAGATAGAAAAGGGCTATGACATCAGGATTTCTGATGGCGGTCATTGATATTTCTCCTCCACCCTCTGCCTCACCATTAGAATGGCCAATGGCAAACCCGTATGGGTGGATCAATGGCCCCTATCTCAGGAGAAGCTGACACAACTTCAGCAGCTAGTATAAGAACAAGTGGACACAGGACATATAGAGGAGTCAGTTAGCCCCCAGAATTCACCAGTGTTTGTTATTCCAAAAAAGTCTGGAAGATGGCGACTGCTGCATGATTTGAGAGCTATTAATGCACAAATTAAACCAATGGGTCCATTACAGCAAGGTGTGCCAACTCCAGTGGTCATTCCTAGAGATTGGCCTCTTGCAGTAATAGATCTTAAGGATTGTTTCTTCACTATACCATTACATGAGAAGGATAAGCCTCAATTTGCCTTCTCTGTGCCTTCTATTAATCAAAGAGAACCTCTTTCTTGCTATCAATGGAGAGTTTTACCCCAAGACATGCTTAACAGTCCTACGTTATGTCAGCATTTTGTAGGACAGGCATTAAAGGAGCCTCGAAATATGTTTCCTACTGCTTACATCATTCATTTTATGGATGACATTCTTTTGGCTGCTCCTACAGATCAAATCTTACATCAGTTATTCTGAGAAACAAAGCAGGCTTTAACTAAATGGAATCTAAAAATAGCTCCAGAAAAGGTACAAACAACTTCGCCATATCGTTACTTAGATAATATTGTTACTGAAAGACGTGTACGGCCTCAAAAAGTAGTTCTCCTTAAAGACAGGTTACAGACTTTAAATGATTTTCAACAGTTGTTAGGGGATATTAATTGGCTGCACCCAATGCTAGATATTGCCACTTATCAACTGACACAACCTTCTCAAACCCTACAAGGAGATTCTTCATTAGATTCCCCGCAGCAATTGACCAAAGAGGCAGAAGCTGAGTTACAGCCTGTGGAACAGATGCTTCAGCAACGGCATGCCTCCCAGCTACAGCCACAGAAACCTTTGCTTTCACCATCCTTCAGACAAAATTGTGCAGTTTTATAAAGTCTATTCTTTCATTCTTCCTGTGATTACTCATCACAAGCCTATTCCAGGTGGACAAACCTATTTTACTGATGGCTCTTCCAAAGGTGGTACAGCTGTTTATGGACCCAAGCATACTCAAACAATAATGACCTCTGGGGTTTCAGCTCAATACTCAGAGTTGATTGCAGTCATACAGGTTTTACAGCTCACAGCTTCAGATGCTATCAACATTGTCTGTGATTCAGCTTATGTTGTAAATGTAGCCAGTTGCATAGAAACTGCTACAATTAAAAGTACCCTAGAACCAGAACTGCTTAATTTTTTCCTAAGACTTCAACAAACTATTCGGTCTTGTGCAGCTCCTTTTCATTTTTCTCTTATTTGCTCTCACACACAACTTCCTGGAGCCCTATCTCTAGGTAATGATAGAGCAAATAAATTGATTGGTTCTGTGTTTCAGCAAGCTCAAACCTCTCATGTATTACTGCATCAAAACACTTCTGCCCTTACTTGTACGTTTAGCTTGCCTCACAGCCAAGCTAGGTCTATAATACAGTCGTGTCCAACTTGCCAGCATGTCCCTGGAGCCACACCTGTAGAAGGATGTAATCCACGAGGTTTGGCTCTAAATGAAATTTGGCAAATGGATTTACACACATAGCAGCCTTTGGTAAGCTTAGCTATGTTCATGTGCCTATAGACACTTATTCTCATATGCTGCATGCTACATGCCAAACAGCTGAGACAGCTGGTCATGTGCGGCAACATTTCTGTCATCATTTGCTCATATGGGGATACCTAAACAATTAAAAACTGACAATGGACCTGCTTATGCTAGTCATGCTTTTCAAAATTTCCTGTAGCTTTGGGTCATAACCCATAAAACAGGAATTCCTTATAATCCTAGAGGACAAGGCATTATAGAGCAGGCACATCAAACATTACAACACATGTTGAAAAGACAAAACGGAGGAGTAGGAGACAAGTTACCACTGCAATCAAAGTTATATTTAGCCTTATTTACTTTAAATTTTTTGACTCCTGGTACGGATGTTAAGACTCCAGTGGAAAGACATTGGCCACTCTTAGAGAAAAAGAGAAGAGGTTTTCCGAAAGTGTTATGGAAATCCCCAGAAAAAGGACATTGGAAAGATCTGGTGGATTTACCGCCTGTAGTCCCACCTACTCAGGAGGCTGAGGCAGGAGAATCACTTGAATCCAGGAGGCGGGGGTTGCAGTGAGCCAAGATGGCACCACTGCATTTCAGCCTGGTCAACAGAGTGAGACTCCATCTCAAAAAAAAAAAAAAAAAAAAAAAATATATATATATATATATATATATATATATATTTGGAGAATCATTTCTGCTTGTTTTGCACAGGAGATGCATTGATCAGCTAAATGTGAATGTAAGAACTTTCAAAACTAAAATGACGTTCCTTAATTCCTAAATCTCTGCTTTAGGACTCAGGCTTTTCTACGAATATAAAGATTCGGAGAATCATTTCTGTCTGTCCCGCCTTCCCAGGGGCAGAACCATTTCTCTGGTGTTCTAAGGTGTGAGTGCATGGAGGTACTATTCCTAAAAATTCATACTCGGTTTCCTCATGTACCCAACTCTGTGCCTTTATCTATCCACATTGCTTTAAGACATATTCTTCTCTCAAGGTGTAAGAGGATGATAAATAGGTGCCAAGTGGAGCACCCAAGTGTGATGAGCCCTCTCACAATGGAATGGAGTGAGAAGCTTTCTGACCTCATAAGTTGAAGGCTATCTTCAGTCATTGTTTTATATATTTTACGTAAATTAATCCTCATATAACCCCAAGAGGTAAATTAGTATAATTTAACCTACATTATACGTGAGAAAGTTGAGACACAAAAGAATCAAAAAACTCTTCCAGGATCAACCACTAAAAGGCAGACCTTGGATTTGAACCAGGCAACCTGGCTCAGGTATCAGTTTTAATTAATACACTCTGTACTTTCAAAGATTTGTAAACACTTAAATAATGCATGACAATTTCAAGCTATGAAGAAACAAATAAAATTTTTACAACATCTCGCAAATCTAGTGGGTCCACACTATCACGATTAAATTCCAGGCTGATGACACTGTGAGGGCATATGGCCAGCTGTGTTGGAGGCCTGGTCAAGGCCAGAGCCTGGGTTTACAGAGAAGCAAACAAACAGCTGAACAACGAGACTCTAACTTCCTGATTCATTCTCTCTACCTGTTTTTCTCCTAGTCCAACCTAAGGGGACTATGTATCCTGCAAAGACCCAGCCCCTGCCTCACAGCAACCTCCTGGTCTGCTGTGTGAGTGGTTTCTATCCAGGCAGCATTGAAGTCAGGTGGTTCCGGAATGGTCAGGAAGAGAAGGCTGCGGTGGTCTCCATAGGCCTGATCCAGAATGGAGACTGGACTTTCCAGACCCTGGTGATGCTGGAAACAGTTCCTCGGAGTGGAGGAGCATCCAAGCATGACGAGCCCTCTCACAGTGCAATGGAGTGAGCAGTTTTCTGACTTCCTAAATTTCTCACCCACCAAGAAGGGGACTGTGCCAATCCCTGAGTGTCAGGTTTCTCCTCTCCCACATCCTATTTGCATTTGCTCCATGTTCTCATCTCCATCAGCACAGGTCACTGGGGGTAGCCCTGTAATCGTTTCTAGAAACGATTTCTAGAAACAGGTTTCTAGAAACGATTTCTAGAAACAGGTTTCTAGAAACGATTTCTAGAAACAGGTTTCTAGAAACGATTTCTAGAAACAGGTTTCTAGAAACGATTTCTAGAAACAGGTTTCTAGAAACCTGTACCTCCTGGAGAAGCAGTCATACCTGCCACGCAGGAGAGGCTGTCCCTCTTTTGAACCTCCACATGATAGCACAGGTCAGGGTCACGCGGTCTCCCTGGGCTCTGGGCCTCTGGGTCTGAGACTGTGTTTCTGGTGCTTTTGATCTGAGTTGTTTGTTGTGATCTGAGAAGAGGAGAACTGCAGCGACCTTCCTGACATGAGGGGAGTCCAATCTCAGCTCTGTCTTTTATTAGCTCTGTCACTCTAGACAAACTACTTAACCTCACTGAGACTCAGGCTTTCTGTTGATCAGATTTTGAAGTTGTGCCTTACATCAAGGCTGTAATATTTGAATGAGGTTGATGCCTGGACCTTGTAACTGTTCAGTGTGATTTGAAAAACGTTTTTTCCCCCAGAAACAGCTAGTTATTTTAGTTCTTACAGGGTAGCCTTCTTCCCCATTTTGAAAGCTCTGAATCTTAGGGTCTCAAGTAAAGAGGTTCAATTTGGAATAAACGTCACTAAACCTGGCTTCCTCTCTCAGGAGCACGGTCTGAATCTGCACAGAGCAAGATGCTGAGTGGAGTCGGGGGCTTCGTGCTGGGCCTGCTCTTCCTTGGGACGGGGCTGTTCATCTACTTCAAGAATCAGAAAGGTGAGGAGCTTTTGGGAGCTGAGTATCTCCATAGGCTTTTCTGGAGGAGGAAATATGGCTTTGCTAGGATTAGTTCTCAGTATATCAGTGGCCCTGGATAAAGCCTTTCTTTCCCCAAATGACCTCCAATGTCCTGATAATCCAGAAATCATCAGTGCATGGTTACTATGTCAAAGCATAATAGCTTGTGGCCTGCAGAGATAAGAGAAAGGTTAACAAGTAGGGGTCCTTTGCTTCGAGATCCTGAAGCAAATTAAGGAAGAGCCACTAAGGCTAATGCAATTACACTGGATCCTGTGACAGACACCTCATGCTTCATGGGTCACATGGTCTGTTTCTGCTCTTCTCTGCCGTGGTTGGTGGGGGTTGTGGTGTTAGAGAAATCTCAGGTGGGAGATCTGGGGCTGGGACATTGCATTGGAAGACAGATTTGCTTCCATACCTTTTAAGTATATATATTTTCCTCTTTTTCCCAGGACACTCTGGACTTCACCCAAAAGGTAATACCTTTTAATCTTCTTTCAGAAAGAGATTCGGTTTCCCTAGAATGATGGCAGAGGTGATAAGGCGTGAGACAGAAATAATAGGAAAGACTTTGGATCCAGATTTCTGATCAGGCAATTTACACCAAAACTCCTCCTCTCCACTTAGAAAAGGCCTGTGCTTTGCAGGATCATTGGCTCAGGGAGACTTAGGAACTTGTTTTTCTTCTTCCTGCAGTGCTCTCATCTGAGTCGTTGAAAGCGGGGAAAAGAAGTTTTAGTAAAGCCAGGTCTGAAAACAATTTCCTCTGTCTCCGCAGGACTCGAGCTGAAGTGCAGATGACCACATTCAAGGAAGAACCTTCTGCCCCAGCTTTGCAGGATGAAAAGCTTTCCCACTTGGCTGTTATTCTTCCACAAGAGCTTTGTCAGGACTAGGTTGTTACTGGTTCAGCAACTCTGCAGAAAATGTCCTCCCTTGTGGCTTCCGCAGCTCCTGTTCTTGGCCTGAAGCCCCACAGCTTTGATGGCAGCGCCTCATCTTCAACTTTTGTGCTTCTCTTTACCTAAACTTTCCTGCCTCCCCTGCATCTGTACTCCCCTTGTGCCACAAACACATTGCATTATTAAATGTTTCTCAAACAGAGTTAAAAATTATCTGGTCCATTTGGCTGCAAGGACAAAAAACAAGAGAAAGGGAAGATTATTTCCCAATAGAATAATGGTTTTCATGTATATATAATAAGTATATGAGGTAAATGCACATGTTAAATAGCTTGATTTAGACATTCCACACTATAGGCATATATCAAAACTTCATGCTCTACAACATAAATATAATATACAATTTTTACTTTCCAATTAAAAAAGTAAACCTAATGTTCAAAAAGGCAATGCATAAAAACTGAGAACAGACTATAACAACTGAAACAAACTTGTCAAACATGAGATGAGAAACCAGCCAGCAAGTCAATCAGAACTTTTTCTTAACCCCGTCTACGATATTGTGAATCTATACCTTTAAATTAGTATATAGTTTTTCATTCCAGAGACTTCAGTTATATAGTATTATCAAAGGACCTGTACAGATTTCAGAGAAAGGCAAATTTAGAAGATGGAGGGTTCTCCATTGTGTTCTATCTGAGAGTCAGCATCAAATATGTCAAATCTGAAAGTACATAATCAATTCAAAAGTTTACTTCAAAGTAATAATCATCTGAACATAATTTATCCGTCAGAGACAACTGTTATTTTATTTTCAATCAAATTCAAGGTTTATTTTATGCATATTTTGTTTTTAGTTACATGTTATTGTACATACATAGCAATACATGTATGTATATATCCTATAAGAATATAAATCCTATAGGAATATACTAAGCTGATAATTATGTTTATTCTGTTTGATCCCAGAGTTGCCACAAATATGCTTTGTTCCTTAAGTTGAGGAAATGATTTGTCTCATTTTATATGAGACTTGTGGTGTGGAATTCTAAGGTAGTACTAAAATGTGTGGGATGAATATCTGAATGAAGATGCCTTCTGCTGCAAATAGCAGGAAATCCCATCTAGTGGGCTTTTCTTTTCTTTAACCCATTATCTCATATTGCCGATACATCCAAGTCTGGGCATCATCAGGGTTGCTCAACTCAGCAGGCCAGTGTCATCATCAGCGATTCTGGAACTTCATAGCTCATCTCTCTATCACACACAGCACGTCAGCTTTCCTGAGATGGTAGGAGGACCCCTGCAGCAGCTTTAGTTTTCTTATTCTTTCACAACTCCCAAAGGCAGGAAAAGGATATGACTTTTTCCTGTGTGTCTTTATAAGAATCTACTAAACAGTTTCTAGAGTGTTCCCAGTACCCACTTTCTCAAACAATGGAATGACCGTGGGATCACATGGGCTCAGATAAGCCAGGATTCAACCTTTGTAGAGTGGGCCTGATGCACATGGGAAGAAAAAGAGCAAAATCATATATTTTTAAAAATAAAGAAATGGTGGATGGAGTAGGAGAGATTGATTTCTGGGTAGGGCAATGAAAGATTGTGGTATTATTAGGTTGTTAGTATTCATAGTTAAATTCCACGTGAAGGCCTAGAGATTCCCGATAGGCATCCTCAATTCAGGGTTTCTGGGTCTTTTTAAATACATATATATTTATTATACATATATTTAAATATATATATATTTTAAAAACATATAAACATATATAATATACTCACATTGAGTATTAAATGTCAGCCATTAACTCAATTACAATAAAACAAAAAAGCAAGTAAAAAGGATTGTTTTTAGAACTCAAGTATGCTGACATGTTATTTTATGAGGTAAATATATTTTCTAGGGAAATTTTTGAAAAAAAAGCAGAAAAAGGAATGACTAGCTCTGTAAGGTGCTGTTTTAAAACACACTATACATTTATTTTTAAAAAGGCATTTGTTACTGATTTTTTTTTCATTAAATACTAGTAAAACAGAGTCTAGAATTAGAAAGAGTTGAGATTTAGTTTCAGTTTTTGGTAAGGTGTACTCCAAACTCATTTTTTTCACTAAATAGATCCTGGATAAATAAAAATTGAAACATAAAGAGAAAATATAAAATTAACAAGACAGATGTTATTTATTTATTTATTTTTCTTTTTTGAGATGGGGTCTCGCTCTGTTGTCCAGGCTGAAGTGCAGTGGTGTGTTCCCTGCTCCGCACAACCTTCGACTCCTTGGTTCAAGCGATTCTCCTGCCTCACCCTACTGAGTAGCTGCGACTACAGGTGCATGCCACCGTGCCTGGCTAATTTTTACGTTTTTAGCAGAGACAGGGTTTCACTGTGTTGGGCAGGCTGGTCTCGAACTCCTGACCTCATGATCTGCCTGCCTTGGCCTCCCAAAATGCTGGGACTATAGGCGTGAGCCACCGTGTTCGGCTGACAGATGTTATTTCTAATAGTATCATCAACATTATAATTATGTTTGAAGACAAACAGACCTTTTAAACCCTTATGTAGTACTGGTGGGAGTGTATAATTTTACAAATACCTGGAAATTGGCAATTTCCTAGCAAGTTTAACATACATTTACCATATGACCCAGCAATTTCACTCCTTGGAATCTACCTAAGAGACATAAAAACATATGTCCTCACAAAGATATGTGTTTGAGTGTTCAGAACAGCGTTAGCCATAGTAGGCCCATACTGAAAACAATCCAAATATCCTTCAACTAGTAAATGGATAAACAAAATGGTACTACATCCATGCAAGGCAATATCATTCAACAATAAAAGGGGACAAAAATAGACTTATATGGCAGGGGAGATACCATGAACATGAGGGTAGTTTTCCCAAGGCAAGTTTCAATCCTTGCACTCCAGATGATGAGACATTACTTAATGGGGACAATGCACGTGATTGGGGTGATGGATACTGCAGAAACACTGACTTCACCACTAAGCAATCTATGCAGGTAACAAAACTACACTTGTACCTTATAAATTCACACAAATGAAAGAAGACAACATGAATAAAAAGGAATGAAAAGAAACGAAACAAAATTGATGATACATACTACAAAACTGGTAAACTTCAATAATGTTAACTAAGTGAAGGAAACTAGACACAAAAGATTACATGTTGTATGATTTCATTTACTTAAAATATCTAGAGAAGGTAAATTATAGACACAAACAGCAGATCATTGGGTGCCTAGGACTTGGGGTATCGGCGGGAATTAACTATAAACAGATAAATTTTGGACACGATAGAAATGTTATAAAACTGGATCATTGTGATAATTGCACAAATCCATTAATTTACTAAAATCATTAAATTTTATATAGACAATGAGTAAATTTTGCAGTATGTAAATTATGCTTCAGTAAACCTGTTAAAATAATTCTTTTTTAAAAAAATAAGACATTGTTGCTAGGTGTGATGGTTCACACCTGTAATCCCAGAACTTTGGGAGGCCAAGGCGGGTGGATCACGAGGTCAGGACTTGAAGACCAGCCTGGCCAAGATGGTGAAACCTCGTCTCTACTAAAAATACAAAAACATTAGCAGGGCATGGTGGCAGGTGCCTGTAATCCCAGCTACTTGGGAGGCTGAGGCAGAGAATGGCGTGAAGCCGGGAGGTGGAGGTTGCAGTGAGCCAAGATCGCGCCACTGCACTCCAGCCTGGGCGACAGAGTGAGACTCCGTCTAAAAAACAAACAAACAAACAAACAAAAACAGGGCTGTGCATGGTGGCTCAAGCCTGTAGTCCCAGCACTTTGAGAGGCTGAGGTGGGCAGATCACGTGGTCAAGAGTTCAAGACCAGCCTGGCCAAAATAGTGAAACCCTGCCTCTACTAAAAATACAAAAATTAGCCGGACGTGGTGGTGCATGCCTGTAATCCCAGCTACTCAAGAGGCTGAGGCAGGAGAATCGCTTGTGAGCAGGAGACGGTGGCTGTGGGGAGCCGAGGTCACACCATTGCACCCCAGCCTGGGAGACAGAGCAAGACTCTGTCTCAAAAACAAAAAACAACCACAACAAAAAAACAAAGAGGTGAGGAAATTGATAAAATTATTTTCTTGGTTTTGTTTTCTATTTGTTTATGGTAGAACATTATTGTGTTAGTCCATTCTTACATTGCTAAAAAGAAATACCTGAGGCTGGGTAATTCATAAAGAAAAGAGGTTTAACTGGCTCAGGGTTTTGCGTGCTGTACAGGAGGTGTGGTGCTGGCAATTGCTTCTGGTGAGGGCCCTCAGGAAGCTAACAATCATGGGGGAAGGAAAGGGGAGCCTGGGTATCACATGGTGAGAGCAGGAGCACAGAGAAAGTGGGGAAGAGTCGCACTCTTTTAAACAACCAGATCTCCTGTGAACTGAGTGAGAACTCATGCATTACAGCTAAGATGGCACCAAGCCATCAATGAAGGATCTGCCCCCCACCAAAATACCTCTCACCAGGCCTCGCCTCCAACACTGGAGGCTATGTTTCAACACGAGATTTGGACGGGACAAACATCCAAACTATA
The DNA here is from genome assembly GCF_000001405.40 of Homo sapiens. Taxonomy (NCBI): domain Eukaryota; kingdom Metazoa; phylum Chordata; class Mammalia; order Primates; family Hominidae; genus Homo; species Homo sapiens. Next base: position 3,968,042 of record NT_113891.3, on the reverse strand, counting down.
TCAATAACATAATTGCTTTAATGTATACTGACTTCGTATTCAGCAACATTATTTAAATTCACTTATTAAAACTATGAGTTTGTTTACTAATTTTATTTTCCAAGTAGCTGATTATGTTGAGAGTAAATAATGACCATTTCACCTGGATGCAATTATCATCTCTTTTATTTATTTTTCTTGCCGTTTTCATTGCCTAACTCCTCTAGTACTCCAGATATGAAGGAGACAGTTTTAAATATTTCACGGCTGAGACTAATATGTGCAATAAGGTTACTATCATTTCTCAGACTGAAGAAATAACTTTTTAATACAAGTTTGCAAATAGATTTTTAAAAAATTAAGGCCAAGTGCTGAATTCTGTCAAATCATATTTCAAGACTCTATCCAGGTGGTTGCATGTGTATTCTCCCTCCTTCAGTTAATGTAGTGAATCACACTAATGGATTCTCAAATGCTCAAACAACCTTGCATTTCTGGAATAAACTCCACTTGGTCATAATGTAGTAGCCATCTTTTATATCAATGAATTCAGTTGGCTATTATTTTCTTAAGAACTTGGCTCATAAGAATTATTGGTCCATAAATTCCTATTTGTTGTAGAGTTCTTTTCAGATCTTGAAGTAAATTTTACACAGATCTCATCAAACCTAACTGCAAGTGTTTTCCACTTTTTCAAATGTTTGAAGTTTGCATAAAGTTAGTGTTGTTTGTTCCTTAAATATTTTAAAATATTTACTGAAGCTAAATGAACCTGGGGTTTTGTCTTGGGAAAGCTTTATAGAATTGGCTTTCTCTATGAGATGTGGAACTCTTCATATTTTATGTTATTTGTTAGCTTCAGTACATTGCACATTTTGAGTAATTTATTCATTGCATGCAAATTTGTTTTTGTAAAATTATTCATAATATTCAGTATTATTTCATGCTGATAAATCTGTAAGACTATAAAAAAAGATATGAAATTTGTGTCTCTAGAGTCTTAGAGAAAGATGACAAATGGGTGATGCCCAAAGAGTCTTTGAAGGAAGATTGACTATTTTCCAAATTTGGATAAAGACTTTAAAGTAAAAATTCAAGAATCTGTGCAAATCTAAAGGAAGATAAATCCAAAGAAATTTATGTCAAAAAATCTTGAAAGCAACAAGAGAGAAATGACATCTCATGTACAGGAGGAAATAAATTAAATGACAGTGTATTCCTCATTAGAAATCATGCAGACCAGAGAGAAGTGCCACAAGATATTTTAATGGCTGAAAGTAATGTTAACCTAGAATGTGCATCCAGAAAAATATTATTATAAAATGAAGGTTCTATCATGACATTCTTTTTTTCTTTTCTTTTTTTTTTTGTTTTTTAGATGGAGTCTTGCTCTGTCACCCAGGCTGGAGGGAAGTGGCACATCCATGGCTCACTGCAGCCTCTGCCTCTCAGGCTTATATGATCCTCACACCTCTGCCTCCTGAGTAGCTGGAATTACAGACACACACCACCAAGCCTGGCTAACTTTTTGTATTTTTGGCAGAGACAGGGTTTTGCCATGATGCCCAAGCTGGTCTCAAACTCCTGAGCTTAGGGGATGCACCTGCCTCGGCCTTCCAAAGTGCTGGGATTACAGGTGTGAGCCACTGCGCCCGGCCATGACATTCTTAGAGGAAGGAAAATCAAGAGAATTTGATGCTAGCAGACTTATCCTAAAACAAGGGTAAAGGAAGTGCTTGAACTGGAATAGAAATGGTAAGGGAAGAAATCTTGGACAATCAGGAAAAAAAGAAACTAGAATGAGTAAAGATATGGGTCAATACAACAGACTTCTCTTCTTCAGTTTTATAAATTAGTTTGATGGTTGAGGCAAAAATTACGACATTGTCAGATCTGGGTTTTGATGCAAGTAGAGAAAATAAAAAATATATATTATAAATGCAGGAGTGAAAGGGATAAAAAGGTAAAGTTTTTACACTGTAGTCAAATTGAAAAAATCTCAGCACAAGTAGACTGTAAGTTACGTTAATAGATAGATAAAACACAAAAACTCTACAATGTGATACACCAAAAAGTGATTGATTAAAAAATGGAATTCTAAATATTGCTTAAGGGACACATCGAAAAACAGGGAAAGAAAACAGAGAAGCAAAAACCAGAAGAAACAAAAACCAAATGGCAGTCATGAGACCTCACATATTAATAATTGCATGACATGTAAATTGTCTAAAAAGACAAATGTCAGAGTGAAACATAATGACCCGCTGATATGCTACCTATGAGAAACTTACCACAAATATTACAAGAGTGGAAGCCTGAAATAGAAGAATGGAAAAAAAAAATCGTACTTACTTTTGTCAAAGAAAGCAGAAATGGCTATAATATCAGATAACATAAAATGCACAGAGCAAAGAATATTCTGAGAGACAAACAGAAACACTACATAATCATAAAAATGTTAATTCAGAAAGAAGACATAGCAACTCTAAAAGTATGTACACCATACAACTAAGTTACTTATAAGTAGAGCAAAAAATGGTCAGAACTGGAAGGAGAAATAGACAAATACACAGTTAAACTTTGGGACTCCACAAACCAACTCTGAAAAGTTAATAAAACAACTGGATAAAAACTCAGCAAGATAATGAAACCCAACAAAACTATCCACCAATAAGATCTAATGGACATTGGCAGACCACCACACCAGACAGAAGAATACACATTTTTTAACTGTCCATGGAATATTTACCAACATCTCTCATACCCTGGACCATAAAAGGAACCTCAACAAATGTAAAGAATTGAAATCATACAGACTGTGCTCCCTGGAAGCAACGGAGCTGAACCAGAAATCAGTAACATGAAGAAAATCAGTATAACTCCAAACACATGGAAACTTAGTAACATACATTTAAATTACCCTTGGATCAAAAAATGTCTTGGCCAGGTGTGGTGGCTCACGCCTGTAATCCCAGCACTTTGGGAGGCTGAGGCGGGTGGATCACGAGGTCAGTTGTTCGAGAGCAGCCAGACCAACATGGTGAAACCCCCAGCTCTACCAAAAATACAAAAAAAATTAGCTGGGCGTAGTGGCACTTGCCTATAATCCCAGCTACTCAGGAGGCTGAGGCACGAGAATGGCTGGAACACGGGAAGGCTGAAGTTGCAGTCAGGGGAGATTGCGCCACTGCACTCCAGCATGGACCACAGAGCGAGACTCCATCTAAAAAAAAAAAGGGCCTGGCGAGGTGGCTCATGCCTGTAATCCCAGAACTTTGGGAGGCAGAGGTGGGTGGATCACGAAGTCAAGAGATCGAGGCCATCCTGGCCAACATGCTGAAACCCCGTCTCTACTAAAAATACAAAAAATTAGCCAGGTGTGGTGGCGGGCGCCTGTAGTACCAGCTATTCGGGAGGCTGAGGCAGGAGAATCACTTGAACCCGGGAGGCAGAGCTTGCAGTGAGCCGACAAGGCGCCACTGCACTCCAGCTGGAGACGCCGCATGGCGGCTCACGCCTGTAATCCCAGCACTTTGGGAGGCTGAGGCAGGTGGATCACGAGGTCAGGAGATCGAGACCATCCTGGCTAACACGGTGAAACCCCATCTCTACTAAAATTACAAAAAATTAGCCGGGCGTGGTGGCGGGCGCCTGTAGTCCCAGCTACTCGGGAGGCGGAGCTTGCAGTGAGCTGAGATCACGCCACTGCACTCCAGCCTGGGAGACAGTGCGAGACTCCATCTCAAAAAAAAAAAGATGTCTTAAGAAAATAAAAAGTATGTTCAACTAAGTGATAATGAAAATACAACATATCAAAATGTTTGGCACATAGCTAAAGGAGTAATTTGAACTACTATGCATAGTACAAAATGTATACACTGAAAAAGAGAAAACCTCAGAAACCAATAATCTCAGTTCCCACCTCAAAAATCTGGAAAATTGTCAAAAATAACCTAAAGCAAGAAGAAGAAGGAGAAAAAAAAAACTGATATAAAGGCAGAACTCGGTGGCTCACGCCTGTAATCCCAGCACTTTGCAAGGCTGAAGCGGGCGGATCACCTGAGGTCGGGAGTTTAAGCCTGACCAACATGGAGAAACCCTGTCTCTGCTAAAAATACAAAATTAGCTGAGCATGGTGGCGCAGTCCTGTAATCCCAGCTACTCGTGAGGCTGAGGGAGGAGAATCACTTGAACCTGGGAGGCGGGGGTTGCAGTGAGCCCAGATGGCGCCATTGCACTCCATCCTGGGCAACAAGAGCAAAACTCCGTCTCAAAAAAAAAAAAAAAAAAGAGGCAGAGACAAAATTAGTGGAAAAAAAGTTTGTTCTTAGAAAATATTAATAGAACTGACAAATTTCTAGGACAAAATAAAAGGAAAAAGGAGAAAAAACACCAATATTGGGGTTGAAACATATTATATCACTACAGATTCTTCGACATCAATAGTACACCAAAGGAATACACCAAAAACACTTAGGTGAAATGGAAAAGAATCCTTTAAAAGTACAGAAGTACACACTATTACAATTAACTCAATATGAAATAGATAAATTGAAAAGCTCTGTAATTATAAAAAGAACTGAACTTATAGGAGAAATCTCTAGTTTAGAATAGTTTTACAGGAGAAATCTACCAAACATTTCAGTAGAATTAACACAACTCTGCAAAATTTCCTCCAGAAAACAGAAGAGAGGGGAAGACATCCCAACTTACTTTATGAGGCCAGCATTTCCTAAAATAAAAAGCACACAAAAACAGTACAGCAAAAGAAAATTAAAAAGCAATATACCTGCATGACTATACATGCAAAACTCCCTAACAAAATGTTAGCAAGTAAAAAATCTGCCAAACTAAAAATATATGTAAAGTATGCCAAGTAGCGTTTATTTTAGGGACGCAAGTCTGGTTTATGTTTGAAATCAATCAGTGTCATCCTTCTTATTAAGAAGCTAAAGAAGAAACATCGCATGGTTATATCAATTGACATAGAAAAGGCCTTTGACATAATTCAACATTAATTTATGATTTAAAAAAACCCCTCAAAATAGTAGGAACTGAGGATGACCTCCTCAACTGGATAAATAACTTCTACAAAAACGTTGCGGCTAAATTATACTTAATAGTGAAAGTCTGAGTGCTTTTCCTCTTCTGCTTCAGCTACTAAGGAAATTCGCAAGGTCACAGAATTCAAGATCAACAAAAAAAATCAATTTTATTTGAATATACAGTAATAAAGAAATCAAAACAAATACTAAAAATACAACATGAATTATTTTCATTCAAAAAACCTCATAAGTATACCAACAGAACATGTACACAATCCATATGCTGAAATGCTGATAAATAAAAAAATCTGAAGAAATGAAGAGATTTACTGTGTTCATAAACTAGAAAACTAAATATAGTAAAGATGTCAATTCTCCTCAATTTGATATCGAGGTTTAACACAATTTCTCCCTAAATTCCAGCAAGATTTGTAATAGTTGTAGACAAAGTTATTATAAAATGCATATGGAGAACCAAGGGAACTAGCATAGGTAAAAAAAAATTTCACAGGGAAAGAGATGAAATAACTATTACCAAATTTCAGAATTTTTATAGCTATAGTAATCAATACTGATCGACATTAGTGCAGGGATAGACATAGATTGGTGGAGCAGCATAGAGAATCCAGAAATACACATATGCGAACTCATTTTGACAAAGGTGCAAAATAATTCAATGGAGGTAATATAGGCTACAGTCTTTTCAAACAATGGTCCAGGAGAAAGTGGAAATTCATAGACAAAAACAAAACCAAACAAAAAACAAAACAGAAGCAAGAAAGAAATAACAAATTCTCACACCGTATGAAAACATTTACCCCAATGAAATCATGTCTACATGTAAAACGTTTAGAAGAAAACACGAGAAAATCATCAGAACCTAGGGCCTGCTGTCTGAATTCTGAGTTCTCAGACATGACATCAAAAGCACTACGTGTAAAAAACAAAAAGACAAAAACAAACAAACAAAAAAAACAATAAATAAGGCTTCTTCAGAGTTTAAAACTTTTGTTCTGTAAAGTATCCTGTTAAGAAATGAAAAGTAAGTTAGAGATACGGAGAAAATATTTAAAACACATATATTACCAAGAATACATTGTCGAAAATATATAATCAACTATAAAAGCTCTTCTATAAAATATATAGCAGAGTGCAGACTATAACATTTAATTGTGGCCAGGCACAGTGGCTCACGCCTGTAATCCCAGCACTTTGGGAGGCCGAGGTGGGCGGATCACGAGGTCAGGAGATCGAGACCATCCTGGCTAACACGGTGAAATCCCGTCTCTACTAACAATACAAAAAAAAAATTAGCCGGGCATTTTGGTGAGTGCCTGTAGTCCCAGCTACTCAGGAGGCTGAGACAGGAGAATGGCGTGAACCCAGGAGGCAGAGTTTGCAGTGAGCCAAGATCGTGCCACTGCACTCCAGCCTGGGCAATAGAGCAAGACTCCATCTCAAAAATAAAAAAAATTTAATTACAAAATGGGCAAAAGATATGAAGAGACATTTTATCAAAGAGGATACATGTACATGGCAAATAAGCACAATGAATGACATGCAAATCACTAGCCATCAGGGAAATGCAAATTAAGAACTTGATCTAATAGTACCACACAACTCTTAATACAGCTAAAATCTCTAAAAAATATGACAATGGTAAATGCTGCTGAGAATGCAGAAAAACTGAATTTCTCATACACTGATGGTGAGAATGTAAAATGGGACTATCCTTCTGTGTCTGGAATTTATTCCTTCCGGTGGGTTCTTGGTCTTGCTGACTTCCAGAATGAAGCCACGGACCTTCGCGGTGAATGTTACAGCTCTTAAAGATGGTGTGTCCGGAGTTTTTTCCTTCAGATGTTCAGATGTGTCCAGAGTTTCTTCCTTCCGGTGGATTTGTGGTCTCGCTGACTTCAGGAGTGAAGTCGCAGACCTTCGCAGTGAGCGTTACAACTCTTAAAGTGGCACGTCCGGAGTTGTTAGTTCCTCCCGATGGGTTTGTGGTCTCGCTGACTTCAGGAATGAAGCCACAGACTCTCGCAGTGAGTATTACAGTTCATAAAGGTAGTCCGGACCCAAAGAGTGAGCAGCAGCAAGATTTATTGTGAAGAGCAAAAGAACAAAGCTTCTACAGCTTGGAAGGGGATCTGAGCGGCTGCCACTGCTGGTTTGGGGGGCCAGCGTTTATTTCCTTATTTGGCCCTGCCCACATCCTGCTGATTGGTCCATTTTACAGAGTATTGATTGGTCAATTTTACAGTGTGCTGATGGATCCTTTTTACAGAGCGCTGATTGGTGTGTTTACAATCCTTTAGCTAGACACGGAGTGCTGATTGGTGTGTTTTTACACAGTGCTGATTGGTGCATTTACAGTCCTTTAGCTAGACACAGAGTGCTGATTGATGTATTTATAATCCTCTAGCTAAACAGAAAAGTTCTCCAAGTCCCCACCTGACCCAGAAGCCCAGCGGTCTTCAACTCTCAATCCCCACTCTAAACAGGACACCCCAACGGCTGTTGGGTATTGGGCGATGACCTCTCTAGCTACTTCCTGCTGGATAGGGGTGAAGAAGGGGCCCTGCAGTTGTAGTGTCCTCCAGAAGGGAACTCTTTAGGCCAGTGAAAGGGTCAGTGGCTCAGTCCAGGGGTTCTTGGTAGAAGTTGTTAGTTGAGCTCATTTGGGGTCCCTTTGTAAGACCATCTGTAGCTTGATGGCCTCGATCCTAGAGGAAACAAATTTGACAAGGAGGTTAAAAATACAGGGCCTGAAGGCGAGTAATAGTAAGATGGCTGTCACAGGACCTAGAAAGGGGAGAAGCCATGTTGCCCAACTCCAGAGGTTGGTATAAGAGTTTCAAAGGCATTGTCTGATTTCACAAGACTTTTCCTGTAAACACTGGGTGGCATCTTGTACTATCCCTGACTGGTTAGTGTAAAAACAATATTCTTCCCCTAAGAAAGCGCAGAGTTCTCCTTTCTCAGCAGTGAAGAGGTCTAGGCCTCGGTGGTTTTGAAGAGTCACTGCTGCCAAAGAGTCTATTTGGGAGTATTGTAGAGTAAGGATAGATTTCGTTATTTCTTGCAAACTGTCTGAGAAATCCTTTGAGAGTGTGTGGTAGTAGGATAATGAAGTAGATAAACTGGCTACTCTGGTTCCTCTAGCAGTAGCCATTCCTAACCCTATAAGTAGGGGTACTAGTTGTATGGCTCTGTGCTGATGAACTTGAGCTTTGAGGGGTACTGATAGGGTCTGATTTCCTGGGGCAATGTTAATGTTGGGTCTTAGAAAGACTAAGGTGTAGATGCCTGTCCAGATATTGGGGAGGCAGATATAGGTTGACATTCCACATAAGAAGAATATACCTTGGCTGGATAGACAGAACTGGTTGTGTATGTGGAAATGTGTGTGAGTTTGTTGTTTTCATTTTCCCATACTCCTAGAGTACTTGCCAATGTAGCTCCGGTGAGTGGCTGGAAAGGGGTGCTGGGAGCAAACTGAGTGGCTCCCTGTGTTCTATTTTCTCATTGGAGAAAAAAAGTTTTGTATCTACTAGGAACCATTTGAGAGAGTGATTGAAAGAGGGGATGAGAAGGCATTCATTAGTGTTGGGGGCTTTTAGCCTGATTTGGACTAGGCGGGCATTTTTTGCCCTTCTGAATTGTTCTTCCAGTGCCCAGACTTCAGGGTTGATTCCCTCCTCAAGCAGGAGGCTACAAATGCGTAACTTGTTCCCCATATTCATGTAGATAATGGCTCCAGCTTTGGCTAATATGTCCCTCCCTAAAATGGTATGGGACTTTCAGGCATAACAAGAAAGGCATGTGAAAAGAGCAAAGTCTCCCAATTACAACCAAGGAGGTGGGAGAAATACCTTATTATAGGCCATCCCAGGATTCCTCGGATGGTAGACAGCTGTCCAGGACCAGAGATTAACACTGAGAAAGCTGTGCCAGTGTCCAGGAGGAAGCCAATTTCATGGCCTTCAATGGTTAAACATACCCGGGGCTCAGTGAGGGTGATGACATGAGCTGGCACTTGCCCCAGGCATCCTCAGTCCTATTGTTGGATCATCTGGTTGGGGGCTTCTGGCCCAGAGAACCTTTGTCCTCTGGGGCAGTGCACCTTCTAGTGATTGCCTCAGCATAGTGGACATGGGCAAGGGGGCCGCTTGTTTCTCATTGGACAATCTTCTTTAAAGTGTCCTTGTAAACCACACTGATAACAAGCCCTACTGGGTGATTAGCCTGCTCCATTTTTTGTTCTCTCTGAACCACCAAGTTCTATTTGTCTGAGGGCCATGACTAAGGCTGTGGCTTTTCTCTGATCTCACTTTTCCTTTTGGGCCTGTTCCTCTTGGTCCCTATTATAGAACACCGAGGTTGCCAGGTTTAATAATGCCTCTAGATTTTATTCAGGGCCCAGGGCTCGCTTTTTGGAGCTCTCTCCTGATATCTGTGGCTGACTGGGTAATAAACTTATGTTTTAGGATCAATTGACCCTCTAGTGAATTGAGTTGGGTGACAGGGGAGTATATTTTCTTAAGCCCTCCCATAGCTGCTCAAGGAAAGGAGAAGGATTCTCTTTCTTTTCCTGAGTTATGGTAGACATCATTGAATAATTCATGGACTTTTTCCTAATTCTCCTTAGTCCTTCTAGAACACAGGTCAGCAGATGTTTATGACTTCAGTCCCCATGATCTGAGTCAAGGTCCCAGTGGGGATCCATACTGGGGATGGCTTGCCAACTGGTAGGGAATTTGTCCCTTTCTTCAGCTGTCATTCTATCATTTACTTAACTAAGATACCAGGTATCTCCAAACTCTTGGGCTGTAGCTAAAGCCTCATTCTTTTCATTAAAGGCCGGGGTTTGACCTAACAATAGCATGACATCTCTCCAAGTGAGATCGAACGTTTGCCCTAGACCCTGTAGGACATCTATGTACCTATCAGGATCATCTGAAAACTTCCCAGGTCTGCCTTGCCTTGATCTGCTTTAAATCAGAGAGTGAGAAGGGGACATGTACCTGGGCTGGGCCAAATTCCCCTCCCCTTACAGCTTGAAGGGGACATAACCCCATACCATAAGGTATTTCACTCCATTTGCCTTCCCTCTTACAGAAAAGGTCAAGCTGTAGGATAGTATTGTGATTTATACTTCCCTCAGGTGGCCATTTCTCCCCATCAGAGAGTGAATATTGGGGCCAAGCTGTAGTGCAGAAAAAAATGAGCCACCTCTTTTTCAGGGTTAGTGGGTCAAATTGGTCCCAATGGCTTAGGATGCATTTCAAGGGTGAGTATGTTGGTGCCTGAGTGTTTCTCATCTGAAAGACAAAACCATCCATGGTTTTGGTTTGTTTGCTTCTCCCTCTTGCCCAAGAACCTGCAATGGTCCCTGGAACCACTGATCGGAATAGTTGCACTCACCAATGCAGGAGCAGAAATACCTCTTGCCCAAGATCCTGCAGCGGTCCCTGGACCCTGCTGATTGGAATAGTTGCACTCACCAACGCAGCAGCAGAAACACTAGTTTTCCTCCTAGACCACAAGGAGGACTGAGGAAGGTCAGATTTAGTGGCCCTTACAGACGCATTCTCGAAAAACTTCACCCTTGCCTGTCCTCCTAGATCACAAAGAGGACCAAGAAAAATAGGATTTAGTGGCCCTTACTGATGCACTGATCGAAAACTTGTTAGAGTCCTAAGCATTCTCCTGTTAACACTGAGACTTTACCTCTGTCCTATAAAGATGTTATGCCCCAAAAATGAAATGGAGGGCCACACCCTGAGGGAGAGAAGAGATCTCCAGGGTTGGAAGAGTGATGCCTTTTGTCCTCACTCGAATACAAAGGATATCATTTCTGAAGCTCCCCATATCCTAGCTTCAGGAATAGCTTTTGTTAAGCCTGTTAGTCTGAGGAAGAATCCTAAAAGGATAGTTGGTCTCCCCACCCAATGAGGTTTTGGGCAAAAATTATGTCTTTCTGATTGGTGAGCCTGAGTGCCTAAAGAAGGGAATAGAGTCCTGGAGTTTGTACTAGAAATAATTCTTATAGGAGAAACTAGAAATTCCAGAAACAGGGAGTGGTTTTTAGAAGCAGGACTCACCTCAGAGAAGAGAGGCAAGAGGAAGTTTGTCCGACAGGCATTAGGACCCTTGGGCAAGGGTCAGGATAGATAGGATAGACAGGCGAGTCTCACTCAGGCAAGTAACTTTGAGAGTTCTGCTCATGGCTGCAGCGTCGACCAACTTGTTGTTGGGACCCCTGAGCTGAATGGCTTTCCTCTCTGTTGACCTTTGGCTCAGCCCAGAAGTACAGGAAAAGCAGAAGCTGGTTCCATGCAAACCAATGCTCCCAACTCCAAATAGTCAAGGGTTGTTAGAGAGCCCTTTCCCAGAAAGCCTGATACCCGTGTCTTTAGTCCAGTGGCCACACTAGTCACTTTTAACTGGCCAACAGGTGCCTGGTATTTAGCCCCCAAATTCTAAGGAAAAATAGGGCAGAATAGCAAGTGAAAGGGGTCTGAAGGTACTCACAGCTTGGCGATAGGTGACTGTCCCATGTGGGGTGCCAAAATGTGTCCCTTTGTGGTCGCCAAAATGTGTCCCATCTGGGTTGCCAAATGTGTCCAGAATTTATTCCTTCTCGTGGGTTCTTGGTCTTGCTGATTTCAAGAATGAAGCCACAGACCTTCGCAGTGAGTGTTACAGCTCTTAAAGATGGTGTGTCCGGAGTTTCTTCCTTCCAATGTTCAGATGTGTCTGGAGTTTCTTCCTTCTGATGGGTTCATGGTCTCGCTGACTTCAGGAATGAAGCTGTAGACCCTTGTGGTGCATGTTACAGCTCATAAAGGTAGTGCAGACCCAAACAGCGAGCAGCAGCAAGATTTATCATGAAGAGCAAAAGAACAAAGCTTCCACAGCGTAGAAGGCGACCCAAGCCAGATGCTGGTGCTGGCTCGAGTGGCCAGCTTTTATTCCCTTATTTGGCCCCACCCACATCCTGCTGATTGGTCCATTTTACAGAGAGCTGATTGGTCCATTTTACAGAGTGCTGATTGGTGCGTTTTTACAGAGTGCTGATTGGTGTGTTTACAATCCTTTAGCTAGACACAAAAGTTCTCCAAGTCCCTACCCAACTCAGAAGCCCAGCTGGCTTCACCTCTCACTTCTAGAAAGTTGTTTGGCAGTGTCTTGAAGAACTACACATATATTTGCCATATGAGTCAGGAATAACATTCTGAGACATTTATATCAGAGAAATAAAAACACATATTCACACAAAAATCTTACACAAATGTTCACAACAGCTTTATTTGTAATAACCCCAAAACTAGAAACAGCCAAATGTCCCTCAACAGGCAAATAGTTAAACTGCAGTGCATTCATCTGATGGAGTATTCCTTAGCAATAAAAAAAAAAAATTGTTGATACATGCAACAACTTGGATGGATCTCAAGGACATTATGCTGTGGGGAAAATGCCAGTCACAAAAGTCACATACTGTGTGATTCTATTTATGTAACATTTTCAAAGTGACGCTATTATAGAGATTGGTGGAGAAGAGACTAGTAGTTGTCAGGGTGATGATGTGTAGGGATTAGTGTGTGACTCTAAAAAGCAACATGAGGGGAGATCTCTGTGGGATGGAATAGCTCTCCACTGGATTGCGTGGTGGATACATAAATCTGCAAATATGATAAGACACAGGCATAGAACTATGAACACATATCATATCGAAGTCAGTTTCCTGGTTTTGCTACTGTGCTAGAGCTGCTTAACATAAACATTTGGAAAAGCTCCGTGAAAGGGTATGCATACGTCCTTTGTACTGTCTTTGCCAATTTCCTGTGAATCTATAATGATTTTCAAGTAAAAATTTTTAAAAAGCTTTTTTTTTCCTGGCCAAAATCCAAAACTCTCACAAAACCAAATGTTGGCAAGGATATAGAACAATGGGGACTCTGATTCATTGCTGTTGGGAATGCAAAACAGTATAGCCACTTTGGAAGACACTCGCTGTTTCTTACAAAGCTAAACACACACTTACCATACAATAATTTCTATGTTTATCCAAATAATTATCTATGGGACTATTGCATTGGTTTCACTTTAATGGTAAACACATGACATTATGTATTTATCAGAACCCATAGAACTGTGTAATAGAGTGAACTCTAATATAACTATGAACCTCAGTTAACAATAAGTATCAGTATTGGTTCATTAATACTAGTGTGCCACACTAATGCAGGATGTTAATAATAGAAGAAACTGAACAGAGGGCTGTTTTAGGGAAGGAGGTATGTGGGAACTCCCTAAACTTTCTTGAAAGTTTTTTGTACACTTGAAACTGCTTTAAAAATGGTCTTGTTACATGGGAGGATATGGACTTACTTTTGCTTTTCATTCCATACTTGTCTGAGTTTGAGTGTATGAAGGGATGGGTTGCCCCTCCACACCTGTGGGCGTTCCTCATCAGGTAGAACGAGAGACTTGGAAAAGAAAGAGACACAGAGACAAAGTATAGAGAAAGAAAAATGGGCCCAGGGGACCGGCGTTCAGCATACGGAGGACCCACGCCGGCACGGGCCTCTGAGTTCCCTTAGTATTTATTGATCATTATCGGGCGTTTCCCGGAGAGGGGGATATGGCAGGACAATAGGATAATAGTGGAGAGAAGATCAGCAGGTAAACACATGAACAAATGTCTCTGCATCATAAACAAGGTAAAGAAAAAAGTGTTGTGCTTTTGATGTGCATATACATAAACATCTCAATGCCTTAAAGAGCAGTATTGCTGCCAGCATGTCCCACCTCCAGCCCTATGGCGGTTTTCCCCCATCTCAGCAGACGGAATATACAATCGGGCTTTACACTGAGACATTCCATTGCCCAGGGACGAGCAGGAGACAGATGCCTTCCTCTTATCTCAACTGCAAAGAGGAGTTCCTTCCTCTTTCACTAATCCTCCTCAGCACAGACCCTTTACGGGTGTCAGGCTGGGGGACGGTCAGGTCTTTCCCTTCCCACGAGGCCATATTTCAGACTATCACATGGGGAGAAACCTTGGACAATATCTGGCTTTCCTAGGCAGAGGTCCCTGCGGCCTTCTGCAGTGTTTTGTGTCTCTGGGTACTTGAGATTAGGGAGTGGTGATGACTCTCAACAAGCATGCTGCCTTCAAGCATTTGTTTAACAAGGCACACCCTGCACAGCCCTTAATCCATTTAACCCTGAGTTGACACAGCACATGTCTTAGGGAGCACAGGGTTGGGGGTAGGGTTACAGATTAACAGCATCTCAAGGCAGAAGAATTTTTCTTAGTACGGAACAATATGGAGTCTCTTATGTCTACTTCTTTCTACACAGACACAGTAACAATCTGATCTCTCTTTCTTTTCCCCACAATTGTGTTCTCTATTGTTCACCTATTTATTTTATATTAAAATTATAGATATGTTAGCAAACACTTATTCTATTTGCAACATTCTCAAGAGTCTGCTTTCTCTAAACCATTGGTAAAGAAACTCGTTATTTATTCATTAAGTCTTACAAGGTTATGCCACCTTGGTTTGTGCTTATTTTGCTTTTCTAGGATTTTTATCGCTAGGCTGTAGAAATTTTGAGGAAAACAATTCCGCAACCAATCAGAGACCGAAATGAAGTTACAAAGCTACACTCCTATGCAAATATCTGACTGGTTGCAAAAAACAACCAATCAGAGGTACTTTGAATTTCACATTTACCACGCAGAAAATGGGGGGCGGGTTACAAAGGGAGTAGTCTTTGATCCTTCTGCTACTTAGGCATAGGAAGTTTGAGTTTTCCTTTCAGTTTAGTTCCATTCGGATGTCAACATGAAACGGCCTTAGGTTCCCTGCCTCCAGACCCTGTTCCCCTGGCTTGTCTGGAAGACACTTTGGCTGTTTCTTCCAAAGCCAAACATACTCTACCACAAGATTCAGCAATTGCAATCCTAAATATTTGCCCAAATAAGTGGAAAACTTCTGTCCACACAAAAAAGTGTACACCAATGTTTATAGCAGCTTTATTTATAATTGCCAAAAATTCAAAGCAACCAAGATGTCCTCCAGTAAGTGAGTGGATAAATTGTGGTAGATCCATACCATGGGTTGTTATTCAACATTAAAGAGGAATAAGCTATCAAGCTAGGAAAAGACATGGAGAAAACCTATATGCATATTGTTATGTGAAGAAGCCAGTCTGAAAAAACTATACACCATATGATTACAACTATATAACATTCTGGAAAAGGCATAAATACAGTGACAGTAAATAGTGGTTTCCAGGGATTCAGGAGGAAGAGGAGTGCATGAGTAGGTGGAGCCTGGGACAATTTTAGGTGAGCGAAACTACTTCATAGGATAATTTTGTCACTGAAACACCAGAGGTTCAGTCTAAGTCTTGCACACAAGGGCTTCAGTCTGGGTCTTGCTGCTCACCACACAGAAAGCCAATCACTGAGATGACAATGAGTGTTGCCAAAGAAGAAGGCTTTAATCTTTAATCAGGTGGTGCAGCTGAGGAGATGGGAGACCAGTGTCAAATCCATCTCTGTGACTGACTAAAATTGGGAGTTTATCTAGCAGGGAAAAATTTACCTATGTATGAGAAAACAGGAACTAGGGAGGGGTAAGGGAGCAATCATAATGAATGGGGAACCTGGAGTCTCATTGACTAGATGAGACGATCTGGTGAGTTCCAGTTCTTTGATACTTTTTGAGAGGCCTGGGAGAATATTTTTTTGGAAAGGAACTCAAATAAAACAAATGTAAGTTTCAAGCTTTAAGACCAGAAGTGTCCATTTCTATGTTTATTTAAAAAAAAAAAAAACTGCCTATGGGACTCTTGGGTCAGTTCCACTAAATGGTGGATATATGACATAATATATTTATCAGAACCCATAGAACTGTATAATAAGAATGATCCCTAATTTCACTATGGATCTCAGTTAACAACAAGTATCAGTATTGCTTCATCAGTGGTAACAAGTATACCACACCGATGCAGGATGTTAAGAATAGGAGAAATTAAGCAGAAGGCTGCTTTAGGGAAGAAGGGCTCCATGAACTTTCTTTTTTTTTTTTTTTTTTTTTTTGAGACGGAGTCTCGCTCTGTCGCCCAGGCTGGAGTGCAGTGGCGGGATCTCGGCTCACTGCAAGCTCCGCCTCCCGGGTTCACGCCATTCTCCTGCCTCAGCCTCCCAAGTAGCTGGGACTACAGGCGCCCGCCACTACGCCCGGCTAATTTTTTGTATTTTTAGTAGAGACGGGGTTTCACCGTTTTAGCCGGGATGGTCTCGATCTCCTGACCTCGTGATCCGCCCGCCTCGGCCTCCCAAAGTGCTGGGATTACAGGCGTGAGCCACCGCGCCCAGCCCTCCATGAACTTTCTCTGCAATTTTTCTGTCCACTTAAAACTACTTTTAAAAAATGGTCTTGTTACATGGAATGATATGGATTTATTTTTGCTTTTTCATTCCATGTTTGTCTGCATTTGACTACATTCTCTATTGCTCATCTACAACCTGTTTGTGTTACAGCTTTTTTAGCCTCATCATTAGGCAGATCCCAGGTTCCTGTCCTGCGTCCAGGAAGAATGAGGTACCCAGACAAGTAAAGGGTTAGCAGGACAAAGAGGAGCTTTATTAAGCAATAGAACAGCTCAGAGAGCCACAGTGGGCAGCTCCTCTCCACTGCCAGGTTGCCCCGACATCTGTTCAGCTATCAACAGAGAGGGTGGCTCCTCTCTGCAGCTGATTGTCCTGTCCTCTCCTCAGTTCTCAGCAGAGAGGAGACCCTGGTGAGGGCAGCTTCACTCTGCAGCTGAGAGGAGACCCTGGGGAGGGTAACCCCTCTCCTCAGCAACTCATCCCTCATGTCCCTGGCCTCTCTCTCTGCTCTCTCCATCCTCTGTTCAACTCTGCCTGAGCCCAGGGCTTTTACAGGCCTCAGAGGGGAGAAAGTGGGCACCATGGTTGGCCATGGGGCAGGCCCAGAAAATGCACAAGTTCCCACTCGTGTCAGCAGGACTGGCAGCCCAGCCCACAGCCTTCAGACCCTCCCTGGCCAGAAGGAGGGGCTTCACTGGGGACTTGCCCCCTTCTGCCCAGGAGACTGTCTGCCTCCCAGCGCCATCCATGGCACCTAGGCTGCTCATGGCAAGGGGCCTGTAGGCCAGCACCAGTTGCCCTCAGCCCATCTTCCCTCAGCTTCCCCGTGGCTGAGGTGGCAGGAGGCTGGTGTGTCAACTTTGCCCTGAGCATGCACACGCCCAGCTAGGCTGTAACAGCACTGGGGCTTGGCCCCAACTCCACTCTGAGATCAGAGCAGGCACCCGGGAGCCTGGAGAGGCCAGGTGAGAGGCCAGGCAGTGGGAGCAGACACCTGCAAGCCTGCAGGGACAGGAGGTGCTTCACGTCCTTGACAGCGTGGAGTGCAGAGAGGCCTGGATCTTGCTGCATGGAGGGCAGGATTCCTACTCAATCCTTGGAGTCTGCAGGTAGCCCCTGTCACACCTTCTTACAGCCTGGGGTGGGCAGCTCCCCTCACCTGTTCCCATGCCAGCATCTGGGGCAAGGATGATGTGTCTGCAAGTTCTTCCCCTAGCACTCAGAGGTGCCCGGGGTTCCCCCTTGCCTGGATGGGGTGGTGGAGCAGATCACACCCAAGCCTGGCCGTCGGGAAAATCAAGCTTGGTGGCCACCCCAGGGACACCGCTCTGGGCCACCTCAGGCAGAACCTCCTCCTGAGGCGCAGGAACTGGGCTTCCTCAGCAGGGTGGGTGGGACAGTGACCATGCCGCTGGCTGGGTCCCCAAAGCGAGGCCACTCCCACTTCCCAAACCAGGCCCAACAAGCCTGGCCCCAGTTCCATGCCCTCCCCACAGCTGCAGGGTGAGAGCAGCAAAGCAGGAGTGGGAGGCTCCTGGCCTGGGGGCGGTCCCGCCAGCTGCTCAAGGGTTGGGGCATCACAGTCAGCTGCCTCAGGGACGTGAGGCACAGGGGACATGAGGCACAGGGGTTCCACCATGGCCACTGCTCCCGCAGTCGTTCCTGCCACCACCGCTTGCAACTTCCCACTGCAGTCGGCCACTCTGGACAGCTCACCACTGCCAGCATCACCACCCTTTTATCCTAAAATACTAAGCTGAACCTTAGCCAGATTTCCTAGATTACCATCATCTCAATTAGTTTCTTTTTTCACAGTTTGTTCCTTCTTTTCTTTTCTTTTTTTTCTTTCTTTCTTTTCCTTTTTTTTTCTTTCTTTCTTTTCCTTTTTTTTTTTTTTTCTTTACAGGGTCTGCCATCTGCCACCCAGGCTGGAATGCAGTGGCATGATCTTGGATCACTGCAGCGTGGACCTTCCAGGTTCAAGCAATCCACCCACCTCCCGAGTAGCTGGGATTAAATTAGCTTCTAAGTAAATTATTATTTTCTGTTGACCAAATTAAATGTGATATTCTGGTTGCAATTTCACAAATTCCCATAGTATTGAATTATTATTGTGGTATAGAGACATAGTTTATTCTCAAATCCAGGGACAGTAGTGACTTTTTCCCATGAAATTTTGAACTTTTTATATTAATAGAAGTATGTTTTTCCAAAGTAAGTGAGGCACTTTTTTTCTTCTGTTTTGAGATGATCAAATTTACTACTTTATGATGAGAAATCTGCAATAATAATTCTGAGCAATAGTTTATATTTGGGAATTTTGAGGTCACTGTTACCTTTAATAAGAAGGAGACTTCTCAGGAGCTATGGGTGTCATCACATAAGATAAATGTAAATGTTGTCATTTCCAGAGGAGGGTAAGGATGATAATGAGGTGATTCTTTTGAAGGAACTAGAATTGCTACACAGTATCTTCCTCAAATCGTATACTGCTGCCATTCATTAACATAAGTAGCCATATTGCTATGTGCATCCATAAATTATAGGAATATAAATAATTTTAATACATAGGACATTATTCTCAGAAATAGGATGTGAAGGATTATGATATAGTGGCTGAGCCTGAGGGATATATAATTTGGTTCAATCTATAGTGTACCATTTACTAGCTTTGTATCTTTGCAAAAGTTGTTTCATCTCCATTGTTTTATTCTCTCTACCTGTAAGCATGAAAAGGGTATTTATTTTAGTGAGTTGATGTGAGAATGAAATAAAAATATGAAGTATAAAAAGCACTTAGTGCAATTCTGAGTATAAAGTAAAATGCTCATTTTTACGGCAGCATGATGAGAATCCTGCCCCTGGAAACACTAAGGCCTATAAGGAATGAGTGCCTATGTGGTAGCATGTGAATTAATGCAGAACGCTATAAGTATAGTTGTACTTTGAAGTCCATTCTGAATCTTAGATGTTACATTTATATTAATAAAAAGCATAATAATTATCTAAATGTATATAATATGTTTAATATTATATGGTTACATCAACTGATGTAATTCATAGTTTTCCCTAGTGTTCTCTTTCCTGAACATTCAAAAATGTATTAGTTAGCAAAGTCGTCTTATATCCTCCCTTATGATAAAACAAGAGAAACATAATAGTAAAGTGCTATAGCCTCAATCAAATGAGGAAATCATAATGGGAACCAGGAATGAGGGACTGAACACTCTTCATATAAAATATTCATTATTTTAAAACAGAATTGTGACCAGGCATGATGGCTCACGCCAGTAACCCCAGCAGTTTGGGGTTACACTGCTGGTGTAGAACACGAAGTCAGGAGATCGAGACCATCCTGGCTAACACGGTGAAACCCCATCTCCACTAAAAATACAAAAAATTAGCCAAGCGTGGAGGCACGTGCCTGTAGTCAGAGTTACTCGGGAGGCTGTGGCAGGAGAATTGTTTGAACCGAGGAGGCGGAGGTTGCAGTGAGCCAAGATCATGCCACTGCACTCCAGCCAGGGCAACAGAGCAAGGCTCTGTCTCAAAAAAGAAGAAGAAAAAAAAGAGTTGTTCTGTGAACGGCTGACTTTGAGAGTCTTTGATCGATCTCTCAGACCCACGAATACCTGGATTGCACACTTGACCTTATCACATTGTTAGGGTAAGTGCCGTACAAAGGCACCTTCAGACCCTCCATTGCACATAGGTGGCCCCTGTTAGCCCATTCCTGTGTGTGTTCTGGAGGTGCCGCTAAACCTGGGGGCAGCATCAGGAGACACGCTTGAAAAAGATATTTTTACTCAGATTAAATTATTAACAGACTTTCAATTTCCTTTAACTTATTAAAGACATCACTACCTGGAAATAGGTACATATTACACTCTCTAGTCAATAGCTGTCATTCTGTCATATTATCAGATACCTGGGGCTGCCGCTCCTTGAGGCATCTAGAGAATCACAGAATTTTCCAGTATTGAAAGACCTGAAAGATCGCAGTGCCTTCATTTCAACTGTGAGACATGAAGTAATTTTCCCAAATCTGTGACATTAAGATATGGTACAATAAAGACAAGATTAAAGGACTCCGGATTTACAACCATGTTCCCTCCGTCTCCTTTACTCTTAAACACACTCACACACTCACTTCTGCAAACAGTTGTCTTGTCAAGTGGGAAATGAATGCTCTTACAAGGCTCAAACTTGTGAACACATCACTGACCAGCACAGAGCTGGCTCACAATAGCTCCCCAATTAAAGTGTTTTACATGCAACTGGTTCAAACCTTTCAAGTACTAAATTAAAACAATCCTTTAAAGAATGAAATTATTTCAGAAGAGGACCTTCATACAGCATCTCTGAGCAGCAACTGATGATGCTGTTGAACTCAGATGCTGATTGGTTCTCCGACACGAGATTACCCAATCCAGGAGCAAGGAAATCAGTAACTTCCTCCCTATAATTTGGAATGTGGGTGGAGGGGGGTCATAGTTCTCCCTGAGTGAGACTTGCCTGCTCCTCTGGCCCCTGGTCCTGTCCTCTTCTCCAGCATGGTGTGTCTGAAGCTCCCTGGAGGCTCCAGCTTGGCAGCGTTGACAGTGACACTGATGGTGCTGAGCTCCCGACTGGCTTTCGCTGGGGACACCCGACGTAAGAGCACATTGAGGGTGCTGAGCTACTATGGGGTGGGGGAATATAGGGAGTTGTGTTAACATTGTGCCCAGGCCATGTCCCTTAAGAAATTGTGAGGTTTTCTTCAGAGATTGCTCATCTTTATCAAGGGATCGCAAATTATTTCCTCCACAAAAGGAACTTGGCTACTTGCCCTCTCCATGAGACTTGTGTAAGGGGCCTTTGTACAGGCCATTTCTTCTCAAATCTCCACCAATAAAACCTTTGCATCACATGTACTCAGGGTCTTTAGAGGATTTGGAAATAAGGATGCTAAAATAAATTCCCCATACAGCAATTCCCTTTATTATGTTGACTTATGTCAGACAAAAGGAGGTTTTTACTGAAAATTTTGTGGGAGTCAAGGGAATTCAAAGGGTCTCTCCTAGACGATCCTGGGTTATGTCCTCCACAGGACCTGTGGTGTTGGCCCCTCTTCCTCATATGTGAGGATGGACCCAGTGGCCTCCCTAGTATCTCCTTTCTTTTCTTTCTGAACTCCAATGTTTATAAAGCCTGTATCCCTGTAGTGTATGTAGGTTGTCTGACAGAAGTTATACTTAGTGCTCTTTCTTTCTTATGGGGAAAAATCCCTGGAACTGAAGCTGAGATCATTAGTACTTGGAATCACCTTACAGATACAGAGCACTTATGAGGTATTCTTTGGTGCCTAAAGAACTTAAGGCATCCTCTGAAAAACTGGCCCAGGTTAGTGTTTATTATGAATCTTTTTAACCTTTCTATACTTGTTTCTCCTACATCTCCTACATGCTCTAACTAGACATGACAGAAGAGATTTAACTAATGTAGTATAAATTATATGAAATTCTATTTTTGTAAGTCAAAAATAATCAAATATCAGAAATTTAATAATGTTCAAACTATATACTGTGTGGGGTTACCGAGACAATGTGGACATTGTTCACATCTCATAGGGCTGAAAGTCAATGGGCAAGTCCTGGAAACTCATTGTCTTACTGCGGTCTTGTCCTCAGTTTCATAGGTTCACCCATCATGCCCTCAGCTTTCCTTAATTAGCCATGTCTGCTTACCTCTTCCTCCCATTTCTCTCTATTTTTCCCCAACTATGTTGTCATCATTTCCAGAAATCTCTAAAGCTTGCACAGATCCTTAGCACTATGAGATCCACTGAAAGAGATAATATTTTTCTCTTTGAGATAGGGCCTGCCTCTGTCACCCAGGCTGTAGCTCAGTGGTGCGATCGAGGCTCACTGCAACCTCTGCCTCCCACACTCAAGCAATCCTCCCTCCTCAGGCTCCAGAGTAGCTGGGAATACAGGCAGGCAACCACGCCCAGCTAATTTTTGCAATTTTGGTAGAGAGGAGATTTTGCCATATTGCCCAGGCTGGTCTTAAACTGCTGAACTCAAGCAATCCTCCTGCCTTAGCCTCCCAACATGCTAGGATTATAGATGTGAGCCAGTGTGCCCAGGCAAAAGAGATGACTCTTAATAAAAAGATTTCCTTTTTCTTAAATCACTGTTCCTTTATCCATGAATTCTTCTTCCAACTAGAAGAAGGAGAAAGAAGTTTGCCTGTATTTCTCACCAGGAGGAGAAGGGGTCTAGTGTGACATCAAAATGAAAGAGTGCTGGAACTTGAGCCCCTTCTTGCTTTCCAGGATCCCCACAGTGATCAGTTCCCATACCCTGGTTTATTTGTGTAAACCACACTTATTTTTCTCAGCAGCTACTGTGTACTGGGTTCCATTCTAGGTTCAAATCATTCTATTTGATTAAGATAGAGAGGGTCCCAACTCTCAAGGAAGTTACAAGAGTGGAGGAGACAGACACTAACCCAATAAGCATTTAACAAAGAAGATAATGTTAGAGAGTCATAGTGCACTGAAGAAAAGACATCAGATGTGTGTTGAAAGAGAGAAATGGATTCATCTACTTTAGTTTGTATGTTTAGGGAGCTCTACCTGAGAAAGTGATATTCAGCTGAGACAACAAAATAAGTAGACAGTCATGAAGATCTAACGGACGAAAGTTTCAGGGAGACCGAATCGAGGGAAAGCACTGGTGTGGGAAATTATGTGGAGGGAGAGAAAGAAGGCTAGAAGGGCTGACGTATAGAAAGCAAGGAAATGGAGAGGCAGAAGATGAGGTAGGACACAGAGAGGAAGTCAGGAGCCTCATCATTATAGGCTCTGATGTCCACGGTAAAAAATTTGAATTTTATTTTATTTTTATTTATTTTTAAATTTTATTTATTTATTTATTTTGAGATGGAGTTTCATTCTTGTTGCCCAGGCTGGAGTGCCATGGCACAATCTCCACTCACTGCAACCTCCACCTCCTGGGTTCAAGTGATTCTCCTGCCTCAGCTTCCCAAGTAACTGGGATTACAGGCACCCACCACCATACCTGGCTAATTTTTTTGTATTTTTAGTATACATGGGGTATCACCATGTTGACCAGGCTGGTCTTGAACTCCTGACCTCAGATAATCTGTCTGCCTTGGCCTCCCAAAGTGCTGGGATTACAGGCGTGAGCCACCACCCCCGGACTGAATTTTATTTAAATAGATATGAGAAGCTGCTGTATGGTTACAAGGAGAGTCAATTTATATTCAACTTTTGTGTGTGTGTGTGATGGAGTCTCACTCTGTTGCCCAGGCTAGATTGCAGTGGCACAATCTCGGCTCACTGCAACCTCCGCCTCCTGGGTTCAAGAAATTATCCTTCCTCAGCCTCCTGAGTAGCTGGGACCACAGGTGCATGCCACCACAGTCGGCTACTTTTTGTATTTTTAGTAGGGATGGGGTTTCACCGTGTTAGCCAAGATGGTCTCGATCTCCTGACCTTGTGATCCACCCGCCTCGGCCTCCCAAAGTGCTGGGATTACAGGCATGAGCCACTGCGCCCAGCTTATATTCAATTATTACAATTAATTCTAGCTACTTTGTGGGGATTGGATTGTTGGGGTTCACAAGTGGTTAGGAGGACTATTTAGGAGCACAGCAGGGAATTCTCCAGGGAAAACAGGCTTGTGGCTTCATGGAGTGCATTAGTGATAAAGACGGTGAAAAAGATAAAGTGGACAGGCTTGGCATGTATTTTTGCTTAGCTTGTTAATGAATTACTGTAAAGGGGGTGGAACAATCAAGTTTATTCCTGAGGATTTTGTTTTGACAAATAAGTGGGTGGTAGTTTTGTTTATTGAGATAGGAAAAACTGTGGGAGGAAATGATTTGAAGTGGGTGGTTGGAAATAAAAGTTTTGTTTAAATTAGAGATGATTTATTGACATTTATGTAGAGCAATCAGAAGGTCAGTGGCATTTAAGAGACTCATGGTGAGGTGAGGCTAGGGCGTCAGATATTTATGTTGGCGGCATCAATACGTGTAGTGTGTTAAATTCTAGGGAGTGGAAGAGGATACATAGGGAGATGGATTGTGTGGAGAAAAAAGAAGAGGGCACAGGCCAGCAAAGTGGGCTGAGACAGAGCCCAGGGATGTTGGAGAAAAACCAAGAGAACATAATGCGTGTAAGTCAAGGAAAATATATTTTTTTCAGGGAGAAGGGAGAGGCCAATTGTGGTGAGTACCACTAAGCAGAGGGGGAAGTGAGAACGTGACAGAGAAGCAAGTGCTGGGTTTGGTGGAGTTGATATTTGTAGTCAATGGAGTATCCAGGGAGGAAACTGGATTGGACTATTTGAAGAGTGAGTAGAAGTGAGGACGAGGTTAAGGTTGACTGTTTTGAGTAGAACTTCGGGAAGGACTGTGCTCTGGGTTCAGGGAGCCCGCTGAATCTAAAGGAAAAGGCTAAAGAAGCTAAAGAGACGGAGGAAGACCTGTGAACAAGAGATGCTCAGTCATTAGCAAGGAAATACTGGAGAGCCCCTGTGTGCAGTGGTGACTACTCATGCAAAAGGTCACACAGCCAATATTTAACACAGCCAGTATTTCACAGAGCCAATATTTATTAGTGACATAGAATATACCAGTTATTACTCTAGGTCATGAGAGTGGTGATAAATAAAATGAATCCGCTCGCCATCAGTATATGCCATGTAACAGTTTGCAGTGACTGTGTACCAGGCCTGTGAATTTCTGTATGCAATTTCAATAATGATCCTGCTGTATCTGTGGTATTTAAAAACATATACATCTCTGGAATCTAAAATTGAGAGGTTATAAGTAAAACCCAGTATTAGAAATTTAGTGCTGGAAATCAGATTGCAGTTTAAATCTGAGCATATAGAAAGTCCCTTTCTTCTATGTCAGCAGATGCCTTTTATGTGAGGTTTAGGTATACTACATTATTAGACATAAACCAGTGTTTCTGCCCTATGTTTTCAGAATGACAATTCTTTATGAAACTCATAGAAGAACAGAAGACAATTGCAAAATCATGAAGATACTAATTGCTTTAGAATTAAGGAATACAAAAAATAATGTGAGCTACAGTTATAGGGATCATAAAAGTTAAAATGGGAATGTATTTGAGTGTTTATTATGTGATCAGTGCTAAGAAGAGTCATCATTTAATTTTACACTTAACAGTAATCCTGTGAGGATTATGCTATTATTAAATGCATTTGATATATTACAAAAAGGCTTACGGTTGGTAAAAATTGACCCAAGTAGAAGAGGTCACCTTTTTATTCAGATTTTCTGATTGTAGGGTTTGAGAGTTTTTCCATCATTAGTGAGTAGTGACTATATTGTGTCTGAATTATTGACAGAATTTCTGATATTCATATATACCAGGTTGTTTCTTTGAGTGGGGACAGAGATGCAAGGGCTGCTAATTCCAATGTATAGGAGAAACTTTCAATGATTTTGCATTTATCATTTTAAAAGTTCAGTATGTCTATAATGGTCATGCGTTGACAAACACAAGGAAGTATTAAATCACTCCTTCTTCTGAGGTTTGACTAGCAAATTGGGCAAGAGTTACCAAATAAAACACATGTTCCTAGTTAAATCTAAATTTCAGATACACGACCATAATTTATTGGAAATCCAAATTTAATTGGGTACCCTCTGGTTTTATTTGCCAAATCTGTCAACCCTAAGTGGGACACATGGACATGGATTACAGTGCTACCCATGCAAGCCACAGTGACAGCAACTTTACACATGTTTACATTTTAACTTTCTCTCTGTAAGAAAGTGCTTAGATAATTTAGGGATAAAAAGATAGACATTGTTTGATCCAGGGTGGACACCTCTCTGCCATCGTTTCTAAAGGGCAAAGGGAGATTTCTGCAGGTCTTGCTCACAGTCTGGGGACCTGCTCATGTTTTGAAACTGTCTGTATCAGAATGTCATTTTCTTGGTTTCTCCCTTTCTGAGGGGACTTGACTACAAAACCAAGAGTTCTGCCTCTGGCCAAGGCTGGAAATGTGATGCCTGCTAGCATTGTTGGGAGTGGGAGACTGAGAGAAATGAGTTAGTTGGGGCATTTAATGGGAATAAAATAGCTGTGGTTGTGATTCATTACTATAGATAATTAGTGGACCAGTGGCGGAGAAATTAAGAAAAAAGATGATGTGAATGATAAATGATATGATTAGTGACTGCTTGGTAAGGCAAGGAAATCATTAAATCTTGGTTCTCATCAAGTTCATTTTCTGAAAAGATAGCACTGTATTGGGACCAGAATTCTACAAAACATTCTTTTTACCTAGGACCAAGATTTTCAAGAAATATTTTTCAATACAATTCTCAGCTGCTCCATAACTAATAGTAGCTTGTTCAACACAGATTTTTTCAGATGGTTCACACCTGTAGTTCTTACCCAGGGATAGTTCACCACCCCTCCCTTCCCTCCCATCATCCTTGGGGAACAGTGACAATGTTTGGAACAATTTTTGGTTGTCACAACAGGGGTTTCTTCTGATATTTAATGAGTAGAAGCCAGGAACACTGCTAGAGAACCTACAATGTTCAGAACAGCCTCCGCCATCAACAAAGAATTATCTGGTCCAAAATGTCAATAGTGCTGAGGCTGAGAGCACTGGTTCACGCTGTGCTCTTTTTGAAAATTCTACACTCACATCTGTTATACACTCACCACACAGTTGTTTTTTATAGTTTATTTTTGCTTGTTCCATTATAAAAAAATTAGACAGTTGCATAAATTCAACCACTTTCTTGTTGAATCCACTTAGTCAATGCAAGCTTAATATTTTCATATTTAGTTTTTGCCTTATGCAATATTTTTCAACATTTTCATGAGTTGTTGGTCATCACCATCTCTATTAACTTCCAACAACTTGCTCTTGTAAGTCACAAATAGTGATGCTGCTGAAATTATTTCTCAGTAACATGCCTCAGATTTCTGTAGTGATTCTACATTTGATATTATTCACAATGTAAAATGCTTCTATGTACTCATTTCACTTTTACCCAAGGATTATTTTTAAGTTATTTTTGTCGTTTTCACACTTCAAACATAAAGACAAAAACATCAAAAATATATACTGTGTTTTACATATGTGTCTATTTTCACACATATATGTATGTATGTTTATATGTATGGAAACTACAGAAGCACATGTCGCCAATAAGAGCTCTGAGACACCTTTGACCACTTACCCTTATCAGATGCGATTTGCCAAATGAGTTGTGGAAACAAGTTTTTTAAACTGAATTTCTGAGCTTTGTGAATTTAGAAATGCAAAGGAAAGTTTGTGGACATTTACAGGGATCATGGTTTTATTGTCCTTTAAACTCTTCGATACTTTACCATTGTCTTACTATAAATCCAAAATCCTAACGCCACCCACGAGGCTTTCAATACCTGGCTTCTTGTGATTTCTCCAGGCTAACCTTTTACCCTCCTTCCCCTCAGCCTCTCTGCTTTAGTGAACTTTCTCCTAGTTTTTTGAAGAAGTTCATCAATTCAAGCTTTTGTACATGGGATTTCCTAAACCTGAAATGTGCCTCCCGTTTTGTCCAAACAGACACGGGCTCCACTCTGCCCCCTGGCTCACACCTGCTTAACCTGTCAAGTCACATCTGAACTGTCACTCTTCAGAGGGTCCTTCTCTGGCACCCTAATGTAATTGAGATCATCCTATTATTCTCTGCTCTAGAACTTCCCACTTCCGGGATTTCTCATTCCTGTCTAACCTCTTGTGTGTCTGGTTTTTGGCCATCGCTTTCACTGCTCTTTAAGCTCCCCCAGCGGAGTGGAGAGGTCTGTTTTCCCTTGTTTGGATTCCTAGAGGCAGCGCAGGCCTGGCACAAGGTCATCACTAAGAAAGTGTTCACAGGATGAACGCGGTGGGTGCTGTTTAAGGAACCGGTAAACATGTGGGATGAGAGAAGGAGCAGAGTGTCTTTGGGGTGGAGGCTCCTAGGAGGAGGCGGGGCGGGCTGCGGTGCGGGGCGGATCCTCCTCCAGCTCCTGCTTGGAGGTCTCCAGAACAAGCTGGAGGCAGGGAGGGGGTCCCAAAAGCCTGGGGATGAGAAGGGGTTTTCCCGCATAGTCCCCTAGGCCCCCGTTCGCCTGAGGAAAACGGAGGATGAGCTCCTGGGCTGCAGGTGGTGGGCGTTGCGGGTGGGGCCGGTTAAGGTTCCCAGTGCCCGCACCCCACCCAGGGAGCCCCGGATGGCGGCGTCGCTGTCAGTGTCTTCTCAGGAGGCCGCCCGTGTGACCGGATCCTTCGTGTACCCGCAGCACGTTTCTTGGAGCTGCGTAAGTCTGAGTGTCATTTCTTCAATGGGACGGAGCGGGTGCGGTACCTGGACAGATACTTCCATAACCAGGAGGAGTTCCTGCGCTTCGACAGCGACGTGGGGGAGTACCGGGCGGTGACGGAGCTGGGGCGGCCTGTCGCCGAGTCCTGGAACAGCCAGAAGGACCTCCTGGAGCAGAAGCGGGGCCGGGTGGACAATTACTGCAGACACAACTACGGGGTTGGTGAGAGCTTCACAGTGCAGCGGCGAGGTGAGCATGTCGGGGGGCGGGGCCTGGGTCCCTGTGAGCTGGAAATCTGAGAGAGAGTGTGTGTGTGTGTGTGTGTGTGTGTGTGAGAGAGAGAGAGAGAGAGGAAGAGACAGAGAGAGGGAGCGCGCCATCTGTGAGCATTTAGAATCCTCTCAATCCCGAGCAAGCAGTTATGAAGGCACAGGTGTGTGTGTAGAGTGTGGATTGGTCTGTGTCTGTGTGCCTGTTGTGGGAGGGGAAGCAGGAGGGGGCTGCTTCTTATCCTTGGAGACTTCTGTGGAGAGGTGACAAGGGAGGTGGGTGCGGGCGGCTGGAGAGAGAGGAGACCTTGATTGTCCTGGGTCCTTAGAGATGCAGGGAAGGAAAGTGTAAGGTGTGTGTGGGTGGGGTGAAGGTTTAGGGGAGGAGAGCTGAGGGGTAAGGAAGGTTTGGGATAATGTGAGGAGGCCGGTTCCAGACTGTCCCTGGCACACACCCTTCATGTAATCTCTGAAATAAAAGTGCGTGCTGTTTGTAAAAGCATTAGATTAAGTTCTAGGGGAATTGAGTAGACCTCTAAGGCACCTCTGAAACTTCTTTAGGTATAAATTTCTTGCTAGTTTTTTGTTTTTCTAGTGTGTATATTTTTACATAGTAGAAATGACAGTGAAACTAACTTTTGAATTAAAGTTTTAACACAGTTACTGTATTATTATAATGCTAATAGTTTTCTAGTAGTTACATATTATTCTTTTATATATAATAGTTGTGACACAACTTAGGGATCACTTTCCCCTTTGTTGACCTTTATTATGACATTCACCAAAAGTTGAAAATGTATGTTTCTGGTTAATTTTTAATTTATATTTTTTCATTTGAAAAAATGTGGAGAGGTCTGTTTTTCATTCAAAAGAGTTCTTTTGAATTATTTTGACCGATTTATTGGTCAATTTTAATAACTGCTCTAAGAATTCCCTATTTTATTTGGTAGGTAATGGACAATGATCTACTGCCTAATATCTCTAGGGCTTAGTATTTTTCTCAGTGACTTTGTGGGTTCTTTGTACTGTAAGATTATTAACACTTTATTGATATTTGATTCAGCATTTGCTCCAGTTTGTGGTTTGTATGTTGATTTTGAAAATTCTTTTCCATGTTAAGAATTTGAACATTTTTATTTAATAAAATGTATTGCAAAAATTTTATTAATGATTTACAATCCATCTTAAATCTGCCATTTTGTGGTATTTTTGTCTCTAGGTTTCTCCTTACTTCTAAAAACATTGTATTTATTGAGAGTATGCTAATGTCGGGGATTTTCCTGGGCATAAGCACCACAAGTAATGAGTTCCAGACCCTGCCTTAATCCAAATGTGATTCTGGAAAGAAAAATCATTTTACAATTGGCCTGATAATAATTCTGCTTGTGTTGCACGGGGGATACATTGAGCAGCTGAATGAAAATATAAGAACTTTCAAAACTAAAATGACGCTCCTAAATCCTTCTGTCTGCTTTAGGACTCATGCTTTTCTAGGAACGTAAAAATTTGGAGAATCATTTCTGTCTGTCCCACCTTCCCAGGGGCAGAACCATTTCTGTGGTGTTCTAAGGTGTGAGTGCATGGCAGTAGTATTCCTAAAAATTCATACTCGGTTTTCTCATGTACCCAACTCTGTCCCTTTGTCTATGTACATTGCTTTAAATCATATTTTTCTGTCACGGTGTACAAGGATGATAAATAGGTGCCAAGTGGAGCACCCAAGTGTGATGAGCCCCCTTACGGTGGAATGGAGTGAGAAGCTTTCTGATCTCATAAATTGAAGGCTATCTTCAGTCATTATGTATTTTACATAAATTAATCCTCATATAACCCCAAGAGGTAAATTAGTATAATTATCCTTCATTGGGGGTGACAAAGTTGAGACACAGAAGAATCAACTCTTCCAGGATCAACCAGTAAAAGGCAGACCTTGGATTTGAACCATGCAACCTGGCTCAGGTATCAGTTTTAATTACTACACTCTGTACTTTCAAAAATTTGTAAACACTTTGACAATGCATGCCAATTTCAAGTTATGAAGAAGCAAACGCAATTTTTCACATCTCTCAAATCTAATGGGTCCTCACTATCAAGATTAAATTCCAGGCTGATGACACTGTAAGGCCACATGGCCAGCTGTGCTGGAGGCCTGGTCAAGGTCAGAGCCTGGGTTTGCAGAGAAGCAGACAAACAGCCAAACCAGCAGAATTACTCTGTCTTCCTGACTCATTCCCTCTACCTTTTTTTCTCCTAGTCCATCCTCAGGTGACTGTGTATCCTGCAAAGACCCAGCCCCTGCAGCACCACAACCTCCTGGTCTGCTCTGTGAGTGGTTTCTATCCAGGCAGCATTGAAGTCAGGTGGTTCCGGAACGGCCAGGAAGAGAAGGCTGGGGTGGTGTCCACGGGCCTGATCCAGAATGGAGACTGGACCTTCCAGACCCTGGTGATGCTAGAAACAGTTCCTCGGAGTGGAGAGGTTTACACTTGCCAAGTGGAGCACCCAAGCGTAACGAGCGCTCTCACAGTGGAATGGAGTGAGCAGCTTTCTGATTTCATACATTTCTCACCCACCAAGAAGGGGACTGTGCTAATCCCTGAGTGTCAGGTTTCTCCTCTCCCACGTCCTATTTTCATTTGCTCCATGTTCTCATCTCCATCAGCACAGGTCACTGGGGATAGCCCTGTAACAGTGTGTAGAAACACCTGTACTCCCTGTGGAATCAGTCATGCTTTTTTTTTTTTTGAACCTCCCCATGATGTCACAGGTCAGGGTCACCCGATCTCCCCAAGCTCCAGGCCCTGCTTCTGGGTCTGAGACTGAGTTTCTGGTGCTGCTGCTCTGAGTTACTTGTTTTGATCTGGGAAGAGGGGAAGCATAGGGGCCTACCTGACATGAGGGGAGTCCAATCTCAGCTCTGCCTTTTATTAGCTCTGTCACTCTAGACAAACTACTTAGCCTCACTGAGTCTCAGGCTTTCTGTGGATCAGATGTTGAACGCTTGCCTTACATCAAGGCTGTAATATTTGAATGAGTTTGATGTCGGAACCTTGTAACTGTTCAGTGTGATTTGAAATCCTTTTTTTCTCCCAAAATGGCTAGTTATTTTAGTTCTTGTGGGGCAGCCTTCTTCCCCATTTTCAAAGCTCTGAATCTTAGAGTCTCAATTAAAGAGGTTCAATTTGGAATAAGCATCACTAAACCTGGCTTCCTCTCTCAGGAGCACGGTCTGAATCTGCACAGAGCAAGATGCTGAGTGGAGTCGGGGGCTTTGTGCTGGGCCTGCTCTTCCTTGGGGCCGGGCTGTTCATCTACTTCAGGAATCAGAAAGGTGAGGAGCCTTTGGTAGCTGGGCCTTTCCATAGGCTTTTCTGCAGGAGGAAATAGAGCTTTGCTGAGGTTAGTTCTCAGTATATGAGTGGCTCTGAATAAAGCCTTTCTTTCCCCAAACGGCTCTAATGTCCTGCTAATCCAGAAATCATCAGTGCATGGTTACTATGTGAAAGCATAATAGCTTGTGGCCTGCAGAGACAAGAGGAAGGTTAACAAGTAGGGGTCCTTTGGTTTGAGATCTTGGAGCAAATTAAGGAAGAGCCACTAAAGTTAATGGAATTACACTGGATCCTGTGACAGACACTTCATGCTTCATGGGTCACATGGTCTGTTTCTGCTCCTCTCTGCCCTGGTTGGTGTGGGTTTTGGTGTTAGAACTCTCCGGTGGGAGATCTGGGACTGTGATATTGTGTTGGAGGACAGATTTGCTTCAATATCTTTTAAGTGTATATCTTTTCCTCTTTTTCCCAGGACACTCTGGACTTCAGCCAACAGGTAATACCTTTTAATCCTCTTTTAGACACAGATTCAGTTTCTCCAGTGAGAGGTGAAGCCAGCTGGACTTCTGGGTTGGGTGGGGACTTGGAGAACTTTTCTGTCTTACAAGAGGTTTCTAAATGCACCAATGAGTGCTCTGTAAAAACACACCAATGAGTGCTCTGTAAAAATTGACACTCTGTGGCTCGCTAGATGTTTGTAAGATGGACCAATCAGCACTCTGTAAAATGGACCAATCCACACTCTGTAAAATGGACCAATCAGCACTCTTTAAAATGGACC
Organism: Homo sapiens; assembly: GCF_000001405.40. Taxonomy (NCBI): domain Eukaryota; kingdom Metazoa; phylum Chordata; class Mammalia; order Primates; family Hominidae; genus Homo; species Homo sapiens. The sequence goes on along the minus strand of NT_113891.3, from coordinate 3,934,865 downwards.
AATCAGCAGGATACGGGCGGGGACAAATAAGGGAATAAAAGCTGGTCACCCTAGCCAGCACCTGCAACCTGCTTAGGTCCTTTTCTATGCTGTGGAAGTTTTGTTCTTTTGATCTTCACAATAAATCTTGTGCTCACTCTTTGGGTCCGTGCCACCTTTAAGAGCTATAACACTCACTGCAAGGGTCTGTGGCTTCACTCTTGAAGTCAGCCAGACCCTGAACCTACCGGAAGGAACAAACTCAGGACACACTAGAATGATGGTAGAGGTGATAAGGCATGAGACAGAAATAATAGGAAAGACTTTGGATCCAAATTTCTGATCAGGCAATTTACACCAAAACTCCTCCTCTCCACTTAGAAAAGGCCTGTGCTCTGCAGGACTATTGGCTCTGGGAGACTCAGGAACTTGTTTTTCTTCTTCCTGCAGTGTTCTCATCTGAGTCCTTCAAAGAGGGGGAAAGAAACGTTAGTAGAGCCAGGTTGAAAACAACACTCTCCTCTGTCTTTTGCAGGATTCCTGAGCTGAAGTGCAGATGACAATTTAAGGAAGAATCTTCTGCCCCAGCTTTGCAGGATGAAAAGCTTTCCCGCCTGGCTGTTATTCTTCCACGAGAGAGGGCTTTCTCAGGACCTAGTTGCTACTGGTTCAGCAACTGCAGAAAATGTCCTCCCTTGTGGCTTCCTCAGTTCCTGCCCTTGGCCTGAAGTCCCAGCATTGATGGCAGCGCCTCATCTTCAACTTTTGTGCTCCCCTTTGCCTAAACCCTATGGCCTCCTGTGCATCTGTACTCACCCTGTACCACAAACACATTACATTATTAAATGTTTCTCAAAGATGGAGTTAAATATCATCTGGTCCATTTGGCTCCAAAGACAAAAAATGAAAAGAAAAGAAAAGAAAAAGGGAAGATTATTTCCTAACAGAATAATGATTTTCACGTGTGTGTCATGAGTATGTGAGGTAATGTATATGTTAAATACCATGATTTAGTCATTCCACACTATAGGCATATAACAAAACTTCATGCTTCCACATAAATATGCTATACAATTTTTACTTGTCAATTAAAAAAGTAATGCTAACATTTAAAAAGGCAGTGCATAAAAACTGAGAACAGACTATAACAACTGAAACAAACTTGGCAAACCAGATGAGAAACCAGCCAGCAAGTCAATCAGAAGTCTTCACCCCATCTACAATATTTTGTATTTATAACTGTAAATTAGTGTATAGTGTTTCACTCCAGAGACTTCAATAATATAGTGTTATCAAAGGACCTGTACAGATTTCAGAGAAAGACACATTTAGAAGACGGAGAATGGAGTCTCCATTATGTTCTACCTGAGAGTCAGTATGAAATGTCAAATATAAAAGTACATAATTCAGAGGTCTATTTCAAAGTAATAATCATTTGAGCATAATTTCTCCACTGACAGAGACGACTGTTATTTTATTTTCAATCAAAAGTTTTTATGCATATTTTATTTTTAGTTATATGTTACTTGTACATAAGTAGCAGTACAAGTACATATAAATCCTGTAAGAGTATAAATCCTATAGAAATATATTAAGCTGATAATTATGTCTGTTCTGTTTGATCACAGAGATGCAACAAAGAGACCTCATTTCCTAAGTTGAGGAAATGATTTTCTCATTTTATATGAGACTCGTGGTGTGGAATTACAAGGTAGAACCAAAATGTGTGGAATGAATATTTCAATGAAGATGCCTTCTGCTGCTAATAACAGGAAATTACATCTAGTGGGCTTTATTTTTCTTTAACCCATTATCTCACATAGCTGATAGATCCAAGACTGGGCGTCTTCAGGGTTGCTCAACTCAGCAGGCCAGTGGCATCACCAGCAATCCTGGAACTTCATAGCTCATCTCTCTATCACACACAGTATCTCAGCTTTCCTGAGATGGTAGGGTGACCCCTGCAGCAGCTTTAGGTTTGTTATTCATTCACAACAACTCCCAAAGGCAGGAAAAGGATACTTCTTTCTCCTGTGTGCCTTTAGAAGGAGCAACTAAACTGTTTCCAGATTGTTCCCAGTACCCACTTTCTCATGCATTGGAACGACTGTGGGATCACACGGGCTCAGACAAGCCAGGATGCAACCTTTGCAGAGTCGGCCTGATGCACATGGGAAGAAAAGGAGCAAAATCAAATATTTTTAAAAATAAAGAAATGGTGGCTGGAGTAGCAGAAATTGATTTCAGGGTAGGGAAATGATAGATTGTGGTACTATCAGGTCGTAAGTATTTGAGTTAACTTCCACACGAAGGCCTATAGATTCCTGACAGGCACCCTCAATTCAGGGTTTTGGGTCTTTATATATATATATATATGTGTGTGTGCATATATATATATATATATATGTGTATATATATATATATCTGTGTGTGTATATATGTGTGTGTGTATACATATATATACACACACATACATATGCAAATATATATGTGTGTATATATATGTATACACACACATATATACACATATATATACACACACACATATAGAGAGAGTTATTAAATGTCAGCCATTAACTCAATTACAATAGAACAAAAAAGCAAGCAAATAGGATTGTTTTTAGAACTCAATTAAGTATTCTGACATGTTATTTTATGAGGTAAATGTATTTTCCAGGGAAATTATTGAAAAAAAGTAGAATAAGGAATGAATAGCTCTGTAAGGCACTAAAACACACTATACATTTACTTTTAGAAATGCATTTGTTACTGATTTTTTTAATTAAATATGTTAATAAAACAGAGTCTACAATTAGAAACAGAAAGAGTTGAGATTTAGTTTCAGTTTTTGTAAGTTGTATTCCAAACTCATTTCTTTCACTAAATAGATCCTGGATAAATAAAACTTGAAACATAAAGAGAAAATATAAAATTACCAAGACAGATGTTATTTCTAATACTGTCATCATCATTATAATTATGTTTGAAGACAAATAGACTTTCTAAACCCTTATGCGTTGCTGGTGGGAGTATATGAGTTTACAAATACCTGATAATTTGGCAATTTCTTAAATAGTTTAACATATGTTTGCCTTATGACCCAGCAATCTCATTCCTTGGAATCTACCTAAGAGACATAAAAACGTATGTCCTCACAAAGATATATGTTAGGGTTCAGAACAGCCTTAGCCATAGTAGGCCAAAACTGAAAACAATCCAAATATCCTTCAACTAGTAAATAGATAAACAAAATTCAACTACATCCAGGCAAGGCAATGTCATTCAACAATAAAAGGGGGCAAAACTAGACTCATCTGGCAGCGGAGATACCATGAACATCACGGTAGTTTTCCCAAAGCAAGTTTCCACCCTTGCACTCCGGATGATGAGACATTACTTAATGGATACAATGCATGTGATTTGAGTGATGGATACTGTGGAAACACCGACTTCACCACTATGCAATCTATGCAGGTACCAAAACTACACTTGTACCTTATAAATTTACACACATGAAAAAAGACAAAAAGAAATGAAAACACAAAATGATGATACATACTACAAAACTTGTGAACTTCAATAATGTTAGCTAAGTGAAAGAAATTGGACACGAAAGATTACATGTCATATGATTTCATTTACTTGAAATATCTAGAAAAGGTAAATTTATAGACACAAAAGCAGATCACTGGGTGCCTAGGGTTTGGGGTCTCAGTGGGACTTAACTATAAATAGAGAAATTTGGGACATGACAGAAATGTTCTAAAAATGGATTGTTGTGATAATTGCACAAATCTATTAATTTACTCAAATCATTCAATTTTACATATACAGTGAGTGAATTTTGTAGTATTCCAAACCGTAGCTGTGACACAATGAGTGAATTTTGTAGTATGTAAATTATGCTTTAGTAAGCGTGTTAAAATAATTCTTTTTTAAAAAATAAGACTTTGTAAGCAAGATAAAATCCAAAAGATACAAATGAAAAAATATTTGAAGAAGATTACTGATTTATTTGCATGAAGAAAATAACAAAATTAAAAGAAGTATATGACGCTCAGGAAAAATTTGATCATGTAAGGCAGACAATGGGCTAACTTTCTTAGAAAAATTGTTAACTAATCAATAAATAAATTCATGGAAATGCCATAGATAATTGGGCAAAGGATATAGACTCACTATAGAAGAGAATATTCTAATAGCCGATAAATATAAATATTTGCTCAAACGCACCAATGAACAGAAAAATCCAAATTCAAACAGCAGTGTAATAAACTATTTCTCCCACTCCACAATTGACAAGTACAATAGTTTGTTTTAAAATCAAGATTCTAAGGGAATAGACTCTCTCATATTATTAGGATTTTGAGTTATGGCAGTGTAGTAGTGTCTATTAAAACTCAAAATACAGTTATTATATGCTGATGAAAACAACAAAAATCTCATTTTAACATCCGTCTTAAAGAACAATCCTACATGAGCCCAAGGAGACATAAAATTGGTAGTTTGTTGAGCCACGGTTTGGAATAACAAAAACATTTCCAGATTCAAAAAGAAAAACTGATTAATTTGTCTTGATTATAAAAATTTTGTACATCCTAAAAACTATGCAGCATGCGAAGTGACAGCACACTGCAGGATGACATCTGGTGCTGTATGGGGCACGGTGAGCATATATTGGTGTAACCCTGTGAGTAGTTTGGATAATACAGTATTTCCACTCTAGGTTGTTACAGTCTCAGTAAATTCTTCCTCATATATCCATGATGACATAAAAAAAATGTAACAGGGGAGAAAAGAAACATTCTCTACATTTAGATATAAGAAAGGTAAACTGTGGTATAGCCATACAAAGGAAAAATATTCAGGGCTTTAAGTAAATTATGTAGGACTATCAACATAGATTGGAAAAAATATTAAACCACAATGCAGTGAGGAGGTGGAAAATTATAAGAATTGTCACTGTTACTATAAGAGCAAAAAGATATATAGACTAAACTAAATGGATAAACTGGAAAATAATCTTATTTTTAAAATTTTAACCAGCCGTGGATCAAAAAGTATAAAAATTCCAAATTCCAGAGATGAACAAATCCCACTTAGGTGAGCAGGGACAAGTGTCCACTCTCATTCTTTGGTCCATCTACTGAATCTTAACATGGGTGGAAGATTAAGCCTGGCTGAGAAAGGGAGATTGTGAGAGAGCAAGGACAAACCAGCTGAGTTGTAAATAGCCCCGTGGGCTTGTGTGATGCATTACAATCTATAGAGGGCCCCTGAATAATACATATCTACTTTACCCTGTCAGCTGATTCTCTTTCCAGAACTTTTTCTGACTTCATGCTGGTTGTGTGGGAACTAGGGACGTAGACAGAAGACAACAAACATCTCTCTAGCTTCATGCAAAGATCAGGAAGGAAATCAAGATAGGAACAATACTTTCAACCATCTTGACTTAGTTGGCATTTATAATTGACATAAATTGACAACATCTGATAACTACAAAATATTTATTTATTTGCATTGCACAAAGATAATTCATGAAATAGAACAAATACTATGACTATAGAACTAGACTCAGTACTTTTACAAGAATAAAATCATACAGAGTATATTCTCTGAACACAATCTTATCAAATTACAAATTAGTAAGATTGAGAAAACTGCCTAAATTTTTGGAACTAAAATAATACATTTCTAAATAATTTATGGCTTGTCAAAGAGGAAATCAGAAGGAAATTAGAAAATAATTTTAAATAAAATAATATTAAAATGAATTTTAAAAATTTTCGAGATGCAACCAAGGCAGTCCTTAGAGAAAAATATTTAGTTTTAAATGCCTGTATTATAAAAGGATAAATATGTAAAAATCAAAGGTGTAAACTTTTAATAATAAAAAGAAGCAAATTTAAGTTGAAAAAAGTAGAAGAAAAAAGCAAAGAGGTGAGGAAGTTGATAAAATTATTTTCTTGGTTTTGTTTTCTATTTGTTCATGATAGAGCATAATTATGTTAGTCCATTCTTACATTGCCAGAAAGAAATACCTGGAGCTGGGTAATTCATAAAGAAAAGAGGTTTCACTGGCTCAGGGTTCTGCAGGCTGTACAGGAGGTGTGGTGCTGGCAATTGCTTCTGGTGAGGGCCTCAGGAAACTAACAATCATGGGGGAAGGAAAGGGGAGCCTGGGTATCACATGGTGAGAGCAGGAGCACAGCGAAAGTGGGGGAAAATTAAGGCCAAGTGCTGAATTCTGTCAAATCGTATTTCATGACTCTATCCAGTTGGTTGCATGTGTATTCTCCTTCCTTCAGTTAATGTCATGAATCACACTAATTGATTCTCAAATGCTCAAACAACCTTACATTTCTGGAATAACCTCCACTTGGTCATGATGTAGTAGCCATATATCACTGAATTCACTTGGCTAATATTTCCTTAAGAACTTGGCTCATAAGAGTTATTGGTCTCTTAATTCCTATTCGTTGTAGAGATCCGTTCAAGTCTTGAAGTAAAGTTTACACAGATCTCATCAAACGTAATTGCAAGTGCTTTTCCTTTTTCCAAATATGTTTGAAGTTTGTATAAAGTTAATGTTGTTTGTTCCTTAAATATTTTTAAGTAGTTATTGAAGCTAGATGAACCTGGGGTTTTGTCTTGGGAAAGCTTTATAGAATGGACTTACTTTCTCTATGAGATGTGGAAATCTTCCTATTTTATGATATTTGTCAGCTTCAGTACATTGTACATTTTGAATAATTTATTCATTACATGCACAGTACATTGTACATTTTGAATTATTTATTACATGCATATTTATTTTGTAAAGTTTTTCATAATATTTAGTATGATTTCATACTGATAAATCTGTAAGATTATAACAAAAGGTATGAAATTTGTGTTACTGGAGTCTTAGAGGGAAATGACAAATGGGTGATGCCCAAAGAGTGCTTGAAGGAAGACTGACTACTTTCCAAATTTGGACAAAGGCTTAAATGTAAAAATTCAAGAATCTGTGCAAACCCAAATGAAAATAAATCCAAAGAAATTTATGCCAAAAAAAATCTCGAAAGCAACAAGAGAGAAAGGACATCTCATGCACAGAAGAAAATAAATTAAATGACAGTGGATTGCTCATTAGAAATCAGGCAGACCAGACAGAAGTGGCACAAGATATTTTAATGGCTGAAAGGAATGTTAACCTAGAATGTATATCCAGTAAAAACATTATTATAAAATGTTCTATCATGACTTTTTTTTTTCTTTTACTTTTCTTTTTTTGTTTGTTTTTTGTTTTTTAGATGGAGTTTTGATCCATCTAAAAAAAAAAACTCAGGCTAGAGTGCAGTGGCGCGACCATGGCTCACTGCAGCCTTTGCCTCCCAGGCTCATGTGATCCTCACACCTCAGCCTCCTGAGTAGCTGGAATTACAGACACACACCACCACGCCTGGCTAATTTTTTGTATTTTTGGCAGAGACAGGGTTTTGCCATGTTGCCCAGGCTTGTCTCGGATTCCTGAGCTCATGGGATCCGCCTGCCTTGGCCTTCCAAAGTGCTGGGATTACAGGCGTGAGCCACTGCGCCTGGCCATGACATACTTAAAGGAAGGAAAATCAAGAGAATTTCATGCTAGGAGACTTATGTTAAAACAAGGGCTAAAGGAAGTGCTTTAACTGGAATAGAAATGATAATGGAAGAAATCTTGGACAATTGGGAAAAAAGTAAACAGCAAATGAGTAAAAATATGGTTAGATACAACAGACTTCTTCAGTTTTGTAAATTAACTTGATGGTTGAGGCAAAAATTACAACATTGACAGATGTGGTTTTGATGCAAGTAGAGAAAATAAAACATACATATTACACATGCAGAAGTGGAAAGGGATATAAAGGAGGTAAAGTTTCCACACTTTAGTCAAACTGGTAAAATGTCAGCACCAGTAGACTATGATAAGTTATGTTAACAGACAGATAAATCACAAAAACTATACAATGAGATACACCAAAAAAAGATTGATTTAAAAATGGAATTCTAAAAATTGCTTAAGGAACACATTGGAAAACAGGAAAGAAACCAGAGAAGAAAAACCCAAAGGAAACAAAAAAGAAAACAAAAAGCAGATGGCAGTCATAAGAGCTCACATATTAATAACTGCATTACATGTAAAGTGTGTAAAAAGACAAATGCCAGAGTGAAAAGCAATGACTCTTCAACATGCTCCCTATAAGAAACTTACTTCAAATATTACATGCCCATCTTCCCTTGGCTTCCCTGTGACTGAGGTGGCAAAAGGCTGGTGTGTCAACACTTCCCTGAGCGTGCACACACCCAGCCAGTCTGTGACAGCACTGGGGCTCTGCCCCAACTCCACTCTGAGATCAGAGTGGGCACCTGGGACCCGGGTGAGGCCAAGGGAGGGGCCAGAAAGTGGGAACAGACACCCCCAAGCCTGCATGGACAGGAGGGCCTTCTCAGTCTTGAGGGAGTGGAGTGTAGAGAGGCCTGGATCCTACTGCCTGCGGGGAGGGCCGGGAGGGTGGGGTTTCCAACCCATTCCGTGGAGCCTGCAGGTATCCCCCGTCACACCTTCTGGCAGCCTGGGGTGGGCAGCTCCCCTCGCTGGGCGCAGGCCAGCATGTGGGGCAAGGGTGATGTCTCTGCAAGTTATTCTGCTAGCACTCAGGGTGCCCGGGGCTCCTTCTCGCCTGGATGGGGCGGGGGAGGCACCTTGGGGAACAGATCACAGCCCGGGCCTGGCTGTCAGGAGCATCAGGCTGGGTGGCCACCCGCGGGGACAAAACCCTGGACGGCCTCAAGCAGAGCCTCTTCCTGAGGCGCAGGAACTGGGCGCCCTTGGCAGGGCGGGACAGCGGCCTTGCCGCTGGCCGGGTCCTCAAAGTGAGGCCACTCCCACGTCCCACCCCGGGTCACTGAAGGGTGGCCCCAGCTCCATGCCCTCCCCACAACTGCAGGGCGAGAGCAGCAACGCAGGAGTGGTGAAGGCTCTGGGCCTGGGGGCGGTCCTGCTGGCTGCTCAAGAGTGGGGTCAGTGCAGTCAGCTGCCTCAGTGACGCGAGGCACAGGGGATATGGGGCACAAGGGTCCCACCACGGCCACTACTCCCTCAGTGGCTCCTGCCGCCACCGCTTGCAACTTCCCGCAGCAGCCGGCCACTCTGGACAGCTCGCCACCGCCAGCATCACCACCCTTTTATCCTGAAATACTAACATGAACCTTAGCTGGATTTCCTGGATTACTACTATCACAATTAGTTTCTTTTTTTCACAAATTTGTTTCTTTTTTCTTTTGCTTTTGCTTTTCCCCTTCTTTCTGAAGGAGTATGATCTAATGGCTGAGCTTGAGAGGTATATAATTTGGCTCAATCTATAGTGTACTGTTTACTAGTGTATCTTGGCAAAATTTGTTTTATTTCCATCGTTTTAGTCTCTCCACCTGTAAGCATGAAAACGGTGTTTATTTTACTGAGCTGATGTGAGAATTAAATAAAAATATGAAGCATATAAAGCTTTTAGTACAATTCTGAGTACAAAGTCAAATGCTCATTTTTATTGCAGCATGGTGAGAATCCTGCTCCTGGAAACACTAAGGCACATAAGGAAGGAGTGCCTATCTCAACTGTGGTACAGTGTGAATTAATGCAGAGCTTTATATGTATAGTTGTACTTTGAAGTCTATTCTGAATCTTAGATGTCACATTTATATTAATATAAAGCATAATAATTATCTAAATGTAGAATTATATGTTTAAAATTACATGATTACATCAGCTGATGTAATTCATAGTTTTTCCCTAGGGTTCTCTTTCCTGAACATTCTGTAACATATTAGTTAGCACAGTCTTCTTATATCTTTCCTTATGATAAATCAAAAGAAGCATAATAGTAAAGGGCCATAACCTCAATCAAATGAGGAAATCCTAATTGGAACCAGGATGAGGGATTGAACACTCTTCACATAAAATATTAATTATTTTACAGCAGTGTTGTTCTGTCAACAGCTGACTTTGAGTCCTTGATCAATCTCTCAGACCCCTGAATACTTCGATTGCCCAGTTGACCTTATCACATTGTTAGGGTAAGTGCTATACAAAGGCACCTTCAGACCCTCCATTGCACATAGGTGGTCCCTGCAAGCCCCTTCCTGTGTGTGTTCTGGAGGTGCCACTAAACTTGGGGGCAGCATCAGGAGACACACTTGAAAACAACCTTTTACTGAGATTAAATTATTAACAAACTTTCCATTTCCTTTAACTTATTAAAGACATCCCTACCTGGAAATAGGTACAGAATACCCTCTCCAGTTAACAGCTGTCATTCTGTCATATCATCAGATACACAGGGGCTGTTGCTACTTGAGGCGTCCACAGAATCACAGCATTTTCCAGTATTGAAAGACCTGAAAGATCGCAGTGCCTTCGTATCAACTGTGAGACATGAAGTAATTTTCCCAAATCTATGACATTAAGATATGGTGCAATAAGGACTAGATTACAGGTCTCCGGATTTACAACCATGTTCCCTTCATCTCCTTTACTCCTAAACACACTCACACACTCACTTCTGCAAACAGTTGTCTTGTCAAGTGGGAAATGAATGCTCTTACAAGGCTCAAACTTGTGAACACATCACTGACCAGCACAGAGCTGGCTAACAATAAGGACCCAGTTAAAGTGTTTTCCATGCAACTGGTTCCAACCTTCCAAGTACTAAATTAAAACAATCATTTAAAGAAGGAAATTGTTTCAGAAGAGGACCTTCATACTGCATCTCTGACCAGCAACTGATGATGCTATTGAACTCAGATGCTGATTGGTTCTCCAACACGAGATTACGCAACCCAGGAGCAAAGAAATTAGTACCTTACTCCCTGTGTTGGGGATGTGAGTAGAGGGAGGTCATAGTTCTCCGTGAATGTGAGACTTGCCTGCTACCCTGGCACCTGGTCCTGTCCTGTTCTCCAGCATGGTGTGTTTGAGGCTCCCTGGAGGCTCCTGCATGGCAGCGCTGACAGTGACACTGATGGTGCTGAGCTCCCCACTGGCTTTGGCTGGGGACACCCGACCTAAGTGCACACTGCGGTTGCTGAGCTACCATAAGGGGGGTAAAGTAGGGACCTAAATTTGTCACTGTGCCCAGTCCATGTCCCTTAAGAATTTGTAACGTTTTCCACAGGGATTGCCCATCTTTATCACATGGATCCCAAATTACTTCCTCCACAAAAGGAGCTTGGCTACTTGCCCTCTCCATGAGACTTGTTTAAGGGCCTCCATACAGGTCATTTCTTCTCAAATCTCTACCAATAAAACTTTGCATCACATGTCCTCAGGGTCTTTAGAGGATTTAGAAATAAGGATGCTAAAATAAATTCCCCATACAGCACTTCCCTTTATTATGTTGACTTAAGTCAGACAAAAGGAGGTTTTTTTCTGAAAATTTTGTGAGAGTCAAGGGAATTCAAAGGGTCTCTCCTAGATGATCCTGTGTTATGTCCTCCACAGGACCTGTGGTGTTGGCCCCTCTTCCTCATAAGTGAAGATGTACCCAGTGGCCTCCCCATTATCTACTTTCGTTTCTTTCTGAAGTCCAGTCTTTATAAAGCCTGTATCCCTGTAGCTTATGTAGGTTCTCTGACAAAAGTTATACTTAGTGCTCTTTCTTTCTTATGGGGAAAAATCCGTGGAGCTGAAGCCAAGATCTTTAGTACTTGGTATCACCCTACAGACAAAGAACATCTATGGGGTGTTCTTTGGTGCCTAAAGAACTTAAGGCATCCTCTGAAAACCTGGCCCAGGTTAGTGTTTATTATGAATCTCTTTTAACCTTTCTATACTAGCTTCTCCTACATCTCCTATATGCTCTAACTAGACTCCACAAGAAGAGATTCAATGAATGTAGGATAAATTATATGAAATTATATTTTTGTAAGTCAAAAATAGTGAAATATCAGAAATTTGCTAAGGTTCAAACTATATACTCTGAGTGGAGTTACCGAGACAATGTGGACATTGTTCACATCTCATAGGGCTGAAAGTCAATGAGCAAGTCCTGGGAACTCATTGTCCTACTCGGGTCTTGTCCTAAATTTCATAGGTTCACCCATCATGCCGTCAGCTTTTCTTAATTAGCCATGTCCACTTACCTCTTCCTCCAGTTTCTCTCTATTTTTCCCCAGCTATGTTGTCATTATTTCCCGAAATCCTTAAAGCTTGCACAGACCTAGAGCACTATGAGGTTCATCACAAGAGATAATTTCTTCTTTTTTTGAGACAGGGCCTGGCTCTGTCACCCAGGCTGTAGTGTAGTGGTATGATAGAGGCTCACTGCAACCTCTGCCGCCAAAGCTCAAGTGATCCTCCCTCCTCAGCCTCCAGAGTAGCTGGGACTACAGGCAGGAAACCACACCCAGCTAATTATTGTAATTTTGGTAGAGACTGCATTTTGCTATATTGCCCAGGCTGGTCTTATACTCCTGGGCTCAAGCGATCCTCCTGCCTCCCAACATGCTAGGATTACAGATGAGAGCCAACATGCCCAGCCGGAAAGAGATGAATCTTAATTTAAAAAAAAATTCTTTTTTCTTAAAATTACTGTTTCCTTGGCCAGGCTCAGTGGCTCATGCCTGTAATCCCAGCACTTTGGGATGCTGAAATGGGCAGATCATGAGGCCAGGAAATCAAGACCATCCTGGCCAACATGGTGAAACCCGTCTTTACTAAAAATAAAAAAATTAGCTGGGCATGGTAGCACATGCCTGTAATCCCAGCTACTCAGGAGGCTGAGGCAGGAGAATCACTTGAATCCGGGAAGCGGAGGTTGCAGTGAGCCCAGATCACGCCACTGCACTCCAGCCTGGCGACAGAGCTAGACTCCATCCCAAAAATAAAAAAAAAAGAGAAAAAAAATTACTGTTTCCTTATCTGTGAATTCATCCAACTAGAAGGAGGAGAAAGTAGTCGTGTGCCTGTATTTCTCACAGGGAAGAGAAGGGGTCTAGTATGACATCAAAATGAAAGAGTGCTGGAGCTTGAGCCCCTTCTTGCTTTCCAGGATCCAAACAGTGATCAGTTCCCAGAACCCTGGTTTATTAATATAAACCACACTTATTTTTATCAGCAGCTACTGTGTACTGGGCTCCCTTCTAGGTTCAAATCATTCTATTTGAGTGAGATACAGTGGACTGGTCCCTACTCATGGAACTTACGCAATCATAGAGGAGATAGACAATAACCCAATAATCATTTAACAAAGAAGAAAATTTCAGACAGTCATCGTGCACGGAAGAAAAGACATCAGGTTTGTGGAAAGAGAGAATTGGATCCACCCAACTTTGGTTCATATGCTTAGGCAGCTCTATCTGAGAAAGTGACATTCAGCTGAGACAACAAAATAAGTAGACACTCATGAGGATCTAAGGGACAAAAGTTCCAGGGAGACAAAATGTGGGGGAAATCCTGGTGTGGGAAATTATGTGCAGGGACAGAAAGAAGGCTAGAGGGGCTGACCTATAGGAAGCAAGAAAATGGAGAGGCAGAAGATGAGGTAGGATGCAGAGAGGAAGTCAGGAGCCTCATCATATTAGGCCCTGATGTTCTTAGTAAGAAATTTTAATTTTATTTAAACAGATATGGGAAGCTACTGCATGGTTACAAGGAGAGTCCATTTATATTCAATTTTTAAAACTAATTCTAGTTACTTTGTGGGGATTGAATCGCTGGGGTTCACAAGTGGTCAGGAAGACTATTTAGGAGCACAGCAGGGAATCCTCAGGGAAAACAGGCTCATGGCTTCCTGGTGTGCATTAGTGACAAAGACAGTGAAAAAGATGAAGTGGATAGACTCGGCATGTAATTTGCTCAGCTTGTTAATGGATTACTGTAAAGGGGATAGAACAATCAAGCTTATTTCTAAGGATTTTGTCTTGACAAATAAGCGGATGGTGGTGTTGTTTATTGAGATAGGGAAAACTGTGGGAGGAAATTATTTGAAGTGGGTGGTTGGAAATGATTTATTGACGTTTATGTGGAACAATCAGAAGGTCAATGGAATTTAAGAGACTCACGGTGAGTCCAGGGCTGGAAGTATTTATGTTGATGGCATCAATACGTGTACTCTGTTAAATTCCAGGGAGTGGAAGAGGATACATAGGGTAATAGCTTGTGTGTAGAAAAAAGAAGAAGGCACAGGCCAGCAAAGGGGACAGAGAGGGAGCCCCAGGGATGTAGGAGAAAAACCAAGAGAACATAATGCTTGTAAGTCAAGGAAAACAGATTTTTTTCAAGAAGCGGGGAGAAGCCAATGAGTATCATTAAGTGGGTGAAGTGAGAATGTGAGAGAGAAGCAAGTGCTGGGTTTGCTGGAGTTGGTATTTGCAGTCAATGGAGTATCCAGGATGGAAAATGGATTGGACCATTTGAAGAGCAAATAGAAGTGAGGATGAGGTTAAGGTTGACTGTTCTGAGTAGAGAGCTTCAGGGAAGGACTGCGCTCTGGGTTCAGGAAGCCAGCTGAATCTAAAGGAAAAGGCTAAAGAGGCTGAAGAGAAGCAGGAGGATCTGTGAACCAGAGATGCTCAGTCATCATTAGCAAGGAAATACGAGAGGGTCCCTGTGTGCAGTGGTGAATGTTCATGCAAAACATCACACAGCCAATATTTCACACAACCCATATTTATTAGTGACTTAGAATATGCCAGCTACTGCTCTAAGTCATGAGAATGGAGTGATGAATAAAATGAATCTGGTCTCCATCAGTACATGCCATATAACATTTTGCAGTGACTGTGTACCAGGCCTTTGATTTTCAGTATACAATTTCAATAATGATCCTATTTTATCTGTGGTGTTTAAAAACATATACATCTCTGGAATCTAAAATTGAGAAGATATAAGTAAAACCCAGTATCCCAAATGTAGTGCTAGAAATCAGATTGCAGTTTAAATCTGAGCATGTAGAAAGTCCCTTTCTCCTATGTCAGCAGATGCCTTTTGTGTGAGGTTTGTTTAGGTATACTGCATTATTAGACATAAGCTAGTGTTTCTGCCCTATGTTTTCAGAATGACAATTCTTTATGAAACTAATAGAAGAACAGAAAACAATTGCAAAATCATGATGAAGATACTAATTGCTTTAGAATCAAGGAATAAGAAAAATAATGTGAGCTGCAGTTAAAGGGATCATAAAAAATTAAAATGAAAATATTTTTGAGTGTTTATTATGTGGTCAGTGCTAAGAAGTCATTATTTAATTTTACACTTAAAAATAATCCTGTGAAGATGATGCTATTATTAAATGCATTTGATAGATTACAAAAAGGCTTTGGTTAGTAAAAATTGACCCAAGTAGAAGAGATTATGTTTCTATTCAGATTCTCTGATTCTAGAGATTGAGAGTCTGCCCATTATTAGTGAGTAGTGACCAGATTGTGTCTGAATTATTGACAGAATTCCTGATATTCATATGTATCAGGTTGTTTCTTGAAGTGGGAGCAGAGATGCAAGGGCTGCTAGTTCCAATGTATAGGAGAAACTTTCATTCATTTTGCATTTATCATTTTAAAAGTTCTATATGCCTATCCTGGGCATGTGTTGAAGAACACAAGGAAGTATTAAATCACTCCTTGTTCTGAGGTTTGACTAGCAAGTTGGCCTGAGGCTGCCAAATAAAATACAGGTTCCTAGTTAAATCTGAATTTCAGATACACACCATAATTTATTGGAAATCCAAATTTAAGTGGGCATCCTCTGGTTTTATTTGCCAAACCTTTTGACCCTAACTGGGACACATGAGCATGGATTACAGTGCTAGTCATGCAAACCACAGTGACAGCGACTTCACACATGTTTATTTTTTAACTTTCTGTCTGTAAAGAAAGTGCTTAGATAATTTAAGAATAAAAAGACAGACGTTTTTGATCCAGGGCATCGTTTCTAAAGGGCAAAGAGAGCTTTGCAAAGGTCGTACTCAAAGTCTGGGACCTGCTCATTTTTGCAAACTGTCTGTATGAGAATGTCATTTTCTTGATTTCTCCCTTTCTGAGGGGAATTGACTACAAAACCGAGAGTTCTACCTCAGGCCAAGGCTGGAAATTTGATGCCTGCTAGTATTATTGGGAGTGGGAGACTGAGAGAAATGAGTTAGTTCGGGCATTAAATGGGAATAAAATGGCTCTGGTTGTGATTCATTACTACAGATAATTAGTGGACCAGTGGCACAGAAATTAAGAAAGAAGATGCTATGGAAGATAAATGATATGATTTGATGACTGATTATAAAGGCAAGGAAATCAGTAAATCTTGGTTCTCCACAAGTTCATTTTCTGGAAACATAGCACTGTATTGGGACCAGAATTCTACAACATTTTCATTTTCTGTAGGACCAAGATTTTCAACAGATGTTTTTCAAAGTAATTCTCAGCTGCTCCATAACTAATAGTGGCTTGTTCAACACAGATTTTTTCAGATGGTTCACACCCATGGTTCTTACCCAGGGATAGTTCACCACCCCTCCCTTCCCTCCCATCACCCTTGGGGAACATGTGGCAATGTTTGGAGGAATTTTTGGTTGTCACAACAGGGATTTCTTCTGATATTTAATGAGTAGAAGTCAGGGACACTTCTAGAGAACCTGCAATGTACACAACAGCCTCCATCACCAACAAAGAATTACCTGGTCCAAAATGTCAATAGTGCTGAGGTTGAGAGCACTGGTTCACACTGTGCTCTTTCTGAAAAGTCTAGACTCACATCTTTTTGTTTTGTTTTGTTTTGTTTTGTTTTTTTGAGATGGAGTCTCACTCTGTCACCCAGGCTGGAGTGCAGTGGCACAATCTCGGCTCACTGCCAGCTCTGCCTCCGGGTTCATGCCATTCTCCTGCCTCAGCCTCCCGAGTAGCTGGGACTACAGGTGCCTGACACTGCGCCTGGCTAATTTTTTTGTATTTTTTTAATAGAGACTGGTTTTCACCGTGTTAGCCAGGATGGTCTCGATTTTCTGACCTCATGATCTGCCCGCCTCAGCCTCCCAAATTGCTGGGATTACAGGCGAGAGCCACCATGCCTGGCCTAGACTCACATCTTTTATACAATCATCACCCAATTCACTTCTTTATGGTTAATTTTTGCTTGTTTCATTATAAATAACTAGACAGTTGCATAAATTCAACCACTTTCTTGTTGAATCCATTCAGTGTAGAGAGCCGGAGGCTGGAGAATCATGACCAACTCAGAATTTCCACTGAGGCAATATGATCAAACAGCAAACTGTTTATCATGAATACAGAGCAGGGGCAAACTCTCCTCTGTGCTGGCCACCAGAAGGTTTGCTGAGGGCAATCACTCCCTGGCGCTGAGCTCCTTCAGGTTATCTACTGGGACATCTAGAATCTATTGTTCAAGGAATGCAGTCTTGCAAGGCTGCTCTGGAGCAAGCAGCAGACCGACAATGACCCCCTTCTTGCTATCTCTTCTCAGTAAATACGAAGGAAGCTCAAGGCTCAGGGCCTTTATTCACAAAGAGCAAGGTGCCCCTGACCCCTTCTTCCAAATATACTCTTTTGTCTTTATTTCCACGTTCATCCTCCTATGTTCAGTCTAACAGGGTCCATGGCATAGTGATGTTCAAACAGCGACAGGGCGACACCATAGTGGTTTCTAAACACAGGGACATGAGAATGTGAACAAAGAAGATCTGGTGGAGCAGAGGAACTGAATTTGACAAGACGAGTGGGGACCCCGAGATGAGTCTGCTGGCAGCTGATATAAGGTCAGTGCCCTAAAGAGGTACTGGGAGCAATATAAGGTCAGTGCTCTAAAGAAGTATTGGGAACGGGAAGTTTTCTGAATCAGGGTAACGTGAGGCAGAATTTGTCTATTGAAGAAAAACATTATGTGCAGTTGCTTAAAGTTTTGTTGAAATAATCTGGTGCTCAGGTTAGATCTCAGACATTAACTACAATGCTGCAGGAGGTTATTATGCATAACCCATGGTTCCCACAGACAGGCACTCTTGATATGGAAAATTGGGACAGAGCAGAAGGATTAAAACAGGCTCAGTAAAAAGGTCTCAAAGTTGATCCTTCCGTTTTCTCCACTTGGAGTTTAGTCCATACTGTCCTTCTGCCATTATCTCCTTCTTATTCTGCTGGACAGCAGGAGTGATGTTCTGAGTCTAAAAATCTGAAAAAATCTGTTGTCCCACCCACAGCTCCAATTGAAAATAAAAAACAGGAGAAGGAGGATAAAAATTGGCCTATACCACCTCCTCCAATAGCAGAAACATCTGTACTGCCTCCTTCGGTAGCAGAAATAGAGACCCCAATACAGAGAATTTTACACTCTGCTGCCATAGCTGGAGAGCCCTGAGGACCTTGCACTTTTCCTATTTCTGTAAGGCCTGATCCAAATAATCCATAGCAGCTTATTCATGAACACACTCCACTAGAGTTTAAGTTGTTGAAGGAATTAAAAGGAGTGTGGTAAATAATGGTGTACAGAGCCTGTTCACTTTAGGATTGCTAGTATCTGTATTTGGTGCTGTGTGCCTTCTACCCTTCAATGTAAAGAATTTGGCTCACACTTGTTTGTCTCCTAGTGCATACCTGACATGGAATTTAAATTGGCAAGAAATGTGTGCAGACAAGGCTAGACGGAATTGTGTGGCTGGACACAGAGACATTACAGAGGACATGCTCTTAGGTAATGGCCCTTATTCAGACCTGGAACATCAAATGGCACTCCCAAATGCCAGCAGTGTGCACAGGCTGCTAAATGTGACTGGGCCACAATTCCAGAAGAGGGAGTCCCAGTGCAATCCTTTTTACATATCATGCAAGGGTCGCAAGAACCTTATGCACAATTTCTTGCATGACTATAGAAGGCAATGAAGCATCAGATTTATCACACCGCAGCTGCAGTGATGCTAACCTTAACTCTAGCTTTTGAGAATGCAAATGCAGATTGTAAACGTGCATCGGCACCTGTGAGGTGTACAAAAAACTTGGGAAATTTTCTCAGAGCTTGTCAAGATGTGGGAACTGAACTTCATCGCTCTACAATATTAGTGCAAGCAATGGCTAATTTAGCAGTTGACAAATCTAAAAGGAACCAAGGGTCAAACCCTAAAATGGGAAAATGTTATAACTGTGGAAAAACTGTACTTTTTTTTTTTTTTGAGATGGAGTCTCGCTCTGTCGTCCAGGCTGGAGTGCAGTGGTGCAACCTCGGCTCACTGCAAGCTCCTCCTCCCAGGTTCACGCCATTCTCCTGCCTCAGCCTCCCAAGTAGCTGGGACTACAGGCACCTGCCACTACACCCAGCTAATTTTTTGTATTTGTTTAAGAGATGGGGTTTCACCATGTTAGCCAGGATGGTCTCGATCTCCTGACCTTGTAATCCGCCCACCTTGGCCTCCCAACGTGCTTGGATTACAGGCATGAGCCACCGTGTCCAGCCAAAACTGGACATTTTAAAAAGGAATTCCGCCAGATCTCAGGACAGAAAGGACATTACGATGCAGTGCCCCACCCAGCGGAAAAAAACACCAGGACTTTGTCCTCACTGTAACAAAGGAAATCACTAGGCTAATCAGGGCTGCTCAAAATTTCATCGAAACAGCATCCCCATGTCGGGAAACTAGAAGGGGGCCTGGACCCGGGCCCCTCAAACAATGAGGGCATTTCCAGTTCAGACCACAGTCCCACTTCAGGGATGGGTCTCAGGAAAAACATTGATTCCTGGTGTTCCTCACCTCAGGAACACCAGGAAGTGCAGGATTAGATATCCCCACCAGAGAAAGAACTACATTAGTTGGAGGAGACAAACCTACCAAGGTTCCCACTGGCATTTGGGGATATTTACCAACAGGATACATAGGACTAATTTTAGGCAAAAGCCCCCTTAACTTGCAAGGCATGACTGTAGTCCCTGGAATAGTTGATTCCATTTATGAAGGAGAAATTCAAGTAGTTTTAATGTCGAAAATCTTTGCATTTTTGAACTGGGAGAATATATTGCTCGGTCGTTGCTTATTCCCTGCAAATTAAATCCTTCTCCATGAAAGGAGAAACGAGGAAATAAAGGGTTTGGGAGCACAACTACAAGGGAAGTCTATCTATCCCATCCCATAGCCCATAGGACTTATGGATAGAGGAGCTGAAGTGTCAGTAATATCCAGTAAGGACTGACCCCCAGTATGGTCTCTCAGACTAACCTCCACATCCCTAGTGGGAGTAGGAGCAGCTAAAAGTGTTCAACAGAGTGCTGACATTTTACCTTGTCTTGGTCCGGATGGACAGCCATGTACTTTTCAGCCTTATGTTGCAAATATGGCAATCAATTTATGGGATCGAGACTTACTTACAGCATGGAATATGAGACTTACAAATGAAAACTTTGATAACCCAGAATTTAAAATGTTGAAGGACATGGGATATCAGAGTGGGAAAGGTTTAGGGAAATTCCTACGAGGAAAAGCTAACCCAACATCAATAACTGGAAAAAACAGAAGAGGGCTAGGTCGTCAGGATTTCTGATGAGGGTCATTGATATTTCTCCTCCACCCTCTGCCTTACCATTAGAATGGCCAGTGACAAACCCGTATGTGTGGATCAATGGCCCCTATCTCAGGAGAAGCTGACACAACTTCAGCAGCTAGTATAAGAACAACAGGACACAGGACATGTAGAGGAGTCAGTAAGCCCCCAGAATTCACCAGTGTTTGTTATTCCAAAAAAGTCCGGAAGGTGGTGACTGCTGCATGCTTGGAGTTAATGCACAAATTGAACCAATGGGTCCATTACAGCAAGGTTTGCCAACTCCAGTGGTCATTCCTAGAGATTGGCTTCTTGTAGTAATACATCTTAAGGATTGTTTCTTCACTATACCATTACACAAGAAGGATAAGCCTCGATTTGCCTTCTCTGTGCCTTCTATTAATCAAAAAGAACCTGTTTCTTGCTATCAATGGAGAGTTTTACCCCAAGGCATGCTTAACAGTCCTACGTTATGTCAGCATTTTGTAGGACAGGCATTAAAGGAGCCCGAAATATGTTTCCTACTGCTTACATCATTCATTTTATGGATGACATTCTTTTGGCCGCTCCTACAGATCAAATCTTACATCAGTTATTCCAAGAAACAAAGTAGGCTTTAACTAAATGGAATGTCAATATAGCTCCAGAAAAGGTACAAACAACTTCGCCATACCATTACTTAGACAATATTGTTACTGAAAGAAGTGTACGGCCTCAAAAGTAGTTCTCCATAAAGACAGGTTACAGACTTTAGGCCGGCCGCGGTGGCTCACGCCTGTAATCCCAGCACTTTCGGAGGCTGAGGCAGGCAGATCACAAGGTCAGGAGATTGAGACCATCCTGGCGAACACGGTGAAACCCTGTTTCTACTAAAAATACAAAAAAATTAGCCAGGAGTTGTGGCGGGCGCCTGTAGTCCCAGCTACCCAGGAGGCTGAGGCAGGAGAATGGCATGAACCTGGGGGGCTGAGCTTGCAGTGAGCAGAGATGGTGCCACTGCACTCCAGCCTGGGCGACAGAACGAGTCTCCATCTCAAAACAAACAAACAAACAAAAAAAAGACAAATGAGTGCCTATGTGGTAGCATGTGAATTAATGCAGAACTTTATAAGCATAGTTGTATTCTGAAGTCCATTCTGAATCTTAGATGTTATATTTATATTAATAAAAAGCATAGTAATTATCTAAATGTATAATAATATGTTTAATATTACATAGTTACATCAACTGATGTAATTCATAGTTTTCCCTAGTGTTCTCTTTCCTGAATATTGTGAAATGTATTAGTTAGCAAAGTCGTCTTGTATCTTCCCTTATGATAAAACAAGAGAAACATAATATAAAGTGCTATAGCCTCAATCAAATGAGGAAATCATAATGGGAACCAAGAATGAGGGATTGAACACTCTTCACATAAAATATTCATTATTTTAAAACATAATGTGGCCAGGCACGATGGCTCACGCCTGTAACCCAGCAGTTTGGGAGGCCGAGGCAGGAAGAACATGAGGTCAGGAGATCGAGACCATCTTGGCTAACACAGTGAAACCCATCTCCACTAAAAATACAAAAAATTAGCCAAGCATGGTGGCAAGTGCCTGTAGTCAGAGTTACTTGGGAGGTTGAGGCAGGAGAATCTTTGAACCGAGGAGGCAGATGTTGCAGTGAGCTGAGATCGCTCCACTGCACTCCAGCCTGGGCAACAGAGACAGACTCCATCTCAAAAAAAAAAAAGAGTTGTTCTATGAACAGCTGACTTTCACAGTCTTCGATCGATCTCTCAGACCCATGAATACTTGGATTGCACAGTTGACCTTATCACATTGTTAGGGTAAATGCCATACAAAGCCACCTTCAGGCCCTCCATTGCACATAGGTGGCCCCTGTTAGCCCCTTGCCTGTGTGTGTTCTGGAGGGGCCACTAAACCTGGGGGCAGCATCAGGAGACACACTTGAAAAAGATATTTTTACTCAGATTAAATTATTAACAAACTTTCAATTTCCTTTAACTTATTAAAGACATCCCTACCTGTAAACAGGTACGGATTAAGCTCTCTAGTCAATAGCTGTCATTCTGTCATGTTATCAGATACCCGGGGCTGCTGCTCCTTCAGGCGTCCACAGAATCACAGCATTTTCCAGTATTGAAAGACCTGAAAGATCACAGTGCCTTCATTTCAACTGTGAGACATGAAATAATTTTCCCAAATCTACAACATTAAGATATGGTGCAATAAGGACCAGTTTAAATGTCTCCGGATTTACAACCATGTTCCTTCCATCTCCTTTACTCCTAAACACACTCACACACTCACTTCTGCAAACAGTTGTCTTGTCAAGTGGGAAATGAATGCTCTTACAAGGCTCAAACTTACGAACACATCACTGACCAGCACAGAGCTGGCTCACAATCGGACCCAATTAAAGTGTTTTACATGCAACTGGATCAAATCTTTCAAGCACTAATTTAAAAACAATCCTTTAAAGAAGGAAATTCTGTTTCAGAAGAGGACCTTCATACAGCATCTCTGACCAGCAACTGATGATGCTATTGAACTCAGATGCTGATTGGTTCTCCAACACGAGATTACCCGACCCAGGAGCAAGAAAGTCAGTAACTTCCTCCCCATAATTTGGAATGTGGGTGGAGGGGTTCATAGTTCTTCCTGAGTAAGACTTGCCTCCTCCTCTGGCCCCTGGTCCTTTCCTGTTCTCCAGCATGGTGTGTCTGAAGCTCCCTGGAGGCTCCTGCATGGCAGCGCTGACAGTGACACTGATGGTGCTGAGCTTCCCACTGGCTTTGGCTGGGGACACCCGACATAAGCGCACATTGTGGGTGCTGAGCTACTATGGGGTGGGGAAAATAGGGAGTTTTGTTAACATTGTGCCCAGGCCATGTCCCTTAAGACTTTGTGACGTTTTGGTCAGAGATTGTGCATCTGTATTATTGGATCCCAAATTATCTCCTCCACGAAAGGAGCTTGACTACTTGCTCATGACACAGTCCATGAGACTGTGTAAGGGGCCTTCGTACAGATCATTTCTTTTTAAATCTCCACCAATAAAACCTTTGCATCACATGTCCTCAGGGTGTTTAGAGGATTTGGCAATAAGGATGCTAAAATAATTTCCCCATACAGCACTTCCCTTTATTATGTTGACTTACGTCAGACAAAATGACGTTTTTACTGAAAATTTTGTGGGAGTCAAGATAATTCAAAGCGTTTCTTCTAGAGGATCCTGGGTCATGTCCTCCACAGGAACTTTGGTGTTGGCCCCTCTTCCTCAAATGTGAGGATGTACCAATGGCCTCCCCATTATCTCCTTTCTTTTTCTTTCTGAACTCCAATGTTTATAAAGCCTATATCCCTGTAGTGTATGTAGGTTCTCTGACAGAAGTTATACTTAGTGCTCTGTCTTTCTTATGGGGAAAAATCCCTGGAACTGAAGCTAAGATCTTTAGTACTTGGAGTCACCCTACAGATAAAGAGCATCTCTGGGGTGTTCTTTGGTGCCTAAAGAACTTAAGGCATCCTCGGAAAACCTGGCCCGGCTTAGTGTTTATTATGAATCTCTTCTAACCTTTCTATAGAAATTTCTCCTACATGTCCTACATGCTCTAACTAGACATAACAAGAAGATATTCAACTAACGTAAGATAAATTATATGAAATTCTATTTTTGTAAGTCAAAAACAGTCAAATATCAGAAATTTAATAATGTTCAAACTATATACTGTGTGGGGTTACAGAGACAATGTGGACATTGTTCACATCTCATAGGGCTGAAAGTCAATGGGCAAGTCCTGGGAACTCATTGTCTTACTGGGGTCTTGTCTTAAATTTCCTAGGTTCACCCGTCATGCCCTCAGCTTTCCTTAATTAGCCATGTCTGCTTACCTCTTCCTCCAGTTTTTATTTTTCCCCAGCTATGTTGTCATCATTTCCAGAAATTCCTAAAGCTTGCACAGACCCAGAGCACTATGAGATCCATTGAAAGAGATTTTTTCCTTTTTTTGAGACAAGGCCTGGCTCTGTCACCCATGCTGTAGTTCAGTGTTATGATCTAGGCTTACTGCAACCTCTGCCTCCCAGGCTCAAGCGGGCCTCCCTCCTCAGCCTCCAGAGTAGTGGAGACTACAGGCAGGAAACCACGCCCAGCTGATTTTTGTAATTTTGCTAGAGATGAGACTTTGCTATGTTACCCAGGCTGGTCTTAAACTGCTGGACTCAAGCAATCCTCCAGCCTTGACCTCCCAACATGCTTGGGTTATAGGTTTGAGCCACCGCACCCAGGCAAAAAATAGATGAATCTTAATTTAAAAATTTATTATTTCTTAAATCACTGTTAATCTTTATCTGTGAATTCTTACAACTAGAAGGAGGAGAAAGAAGAACTTTGCCTGTATTTCACACCGGGAGGAGAAGGGGTCTAGTGTGACATCAAAATGAAAGAGTGCTGGAGTTTGAGCCCCTTCTTGCTTTCCAGGATCCAAACAGTGATCAGTTCCTAGATCCCTGGTTTATTCATGTAAACCACACTTATTTTTCTCAGCAGCTACTGTGTACTCGGCTCCATTCCAAGTTCAAATCATTGTATTTGATTAAGATAGAGAGGGTCCCGACTCTCATGGAAGTTACACAACAATAGAGGAGACAGACATTAACCCAATATGCAATTAACAAAGAAGATAACATTAGAGAGTAATAGTGCACTGAAGAAAAGACATCAGGTTTGTGGAAAAGAGAGAAATGGATTCACCCAACTTTAGCTCATGTGTTTAGAAAGCTCTGCCTGAGAAAGTGACATTCAGCTGAGACAACAAAATAAGTAGAGAGCCATGTGAAGATCTAAGGGACGAAAGTTCCAGGGAGACAGAATGTGGGGGCAGGGGGGGTGGGAAGCCCTGGTGTGGGAAATTATGTGCAGGGACAGAAAGAAGGCTAGAGAGACTGAACTATAGCATTCAAAGAAATGCAGAGGCAGAGGATGAGGTAGGAAGCAGAGAGGAAGTCAGGAGCCTCATTATATTAGGCTCTGATGTCCATGGTAAGAAATTTGAATTTTATTTTATTTATTTTCATTTTTTTATTTCATTATTTATTTTTTGAGATGGAGTTTCGTTCTTGTTGCCCAGGCTGGATGCAATGGCGTGGCCTCGGCTCACTGCAACCTCTGCCTCCTGGGCTCACGTGATTTTCCTGCCTCAGCCTCCCGAGTAGCTGGAACTACAGGCGCCTGCCACCATGCCAGGCTAATTTTTTAGTATTTTTAGTAAAGACAGGGTTTTACCATGTTGGCCAGGCTGGTCTCGAACTCCTGACCTCCGGTAATCTGCCTGTCTTGGCTTCCCAAACTGCTGGGATTACAGTCATTAGTCTCCGTACCCAGCCTGAATTTTATTTAAATAGATGTGAGACGCTACTGGATGGTTACAAGGAGAGTCAATTCATGTTCAGTTTTAGAAACTAATTCTAGCTTTAAAGTAGAGGGAAATTTATAGCACTAAATGCCCACAAGAGAAAGCAGGAAAGATCTAAAACTGACAACCTAACATCAAAATTAAAATAACTAGAGAAGCAAGAGCGATCACATTCAAAAGCTAGCAGAAGGCAAGAAATAACTAAGATCAGAGCAGAACTGAAGGAAATAGAGACACAAAAAACCCTTCAAAAAATCAATGAATCCAGGAGCTTGTTTTTTGAAAAGATCAACAAAATTGATAGACCGCTAATAAGACTAATAAAGAAGAAAAGAGAGAAGAATCAAATAGATGCAATAAAAAATGATAAAGGGGTATCACCACCGATCCCACAGAAATACAAACTACCATCAGAGAATACTATAAACACCTCTACGCAAATAAACTTGAAAATCTAGAAGAAATGGATAAATTCCTCGACACATACACTCTCCCAAGACTAAACCAGGAAGAAGCTGAATCTCTGAATAGACCAATAACAGGCTCGGAAATTGAGGCAATAATTAATAGCTTACCAACCAAAAAAGTCCAGGACCAGACGGATTCACAGCCGAATTCTATCAGAGGTACAAGGAGGAGCTGGTACCATTCCTTCTGAAACTATTCCAATCAATAGAAAGAGAGAGAATCCTCCCTAACTCATTTTATGAGGCCAGCATCATCCTGATACCAAAGCCTGGCAGAGACACAACAAAAAAAAAGAGAATTTTAGACCAATATCCCTGATGAACATCGATGCAAAGATCCTCAATAAAATACTGGCAAACCAAATCCACCAGCATATCAAAGAGCTTATCCACCATGATCAAGTGGGCTTCATCCCTGGGATGCAAGGCTGGTTCAACAAATGCAAATCAATAAAGGTAATCCAGCACATAAACAGAACCAACGACAAAAACCACATGATTATCTCAATAGATGCAGAAAAGGCCTTTGACAAAATTCAACAACCCTTCATGCTAAAAACTCTCAATAAATTAGGTATTGATGGTATGTATCTCAAAGTAATAAGAGCTATTTATGACAAACCCACAGCCAATATCATACTGAATGGGCAAAAACTGAAAGCATTCCCTTTGAAAACGGGCACAAGACAAAGATGTCCTCTCTCACCACTCCTATTCAACATAGTGTTGGAAGTTCTAGCCAGGGCAATCAGGCAGGAGAAGGAAATAAAGGGTATTCAATTAGGAAAAGAGGAAGTCAAATTGTCCCTGTTTGCAGATGACATGATTGTATATCTAGAAAACCCCATCGTCTCAGCCCAAAATCTCCTTAAGCTGATAAGCAACTTCAGCAAAGTCTCAGGATACAAAATCAATGTGCAAAAATCACAAGCATTCTTGTACACCAATAACAGACAAACAGAGAGCCAAATCATGAGTGAACTCCCATTCACAATTGCTTCAAAGAGAATAAAATACCTAGGAATCCAACTTACAAGGGATGTGAAGGATCTCTTCAAGGAGATCTACAAACTGCTGCTCAATGAAATAAAAGAGGACACAAACAAATGGAAGAATATTCCATGCTCATGGGTAGGAAGAATCAATATCATGAAAATGGCCATACTACCCAAGGTAATTTATAGATTCAATGCCATCCCCATCAAGCTACCAATTACTTTCTTCACAGAATTGGAAAAAACTACTTTAAAGTTCATATGGAACGAAAAAAGAGCCCTCATTGCCAAGTCAATCCTAAGCCAAAAGAACAAAGCTGGAGGCATCATGCTACCTGACTTCAAACTATACTATAAGGCTACAGTAACCAAAACAGCATGGTACTGGTACCAAAACAGAGATATAGATCAAGGGAACAGAACAGAGCCCTCAGAAATAATGCCACATATCTACAACTATCTGATCTTTGACAAACCTTACAAAAACAAGAAATGGGGAAAGGATTCCCTATTTAATAAATGGTGCTGGGAAAACTGGCTAGTCATATGTAGAAAGCTGAAACTGGATCCCTTCCTTACACCTTATACAAAAATTAATTCAAGATGGATTAAAGACTTAAATGTTAGACCTAAAACCATAAAAACCCTAGAAGAAAACCTAGGCAATACCATTCAGGACATAGGCATGGGCAAGGACTTCATGTCTAAAACACCAAAAGCAATGGCAACAAAAGCCAAAATTGACAAATGGGATCTAATTAAACTAAAGAGCTTCTGCACAGCAAAAGAAACTACCATCAGAGTGAACAGGCAACCTACAGAATGGGAGAAAATTTTTGCAATCTACTCATCTGACAAAGGGCTAATACCCAGAAACTACAAAAAACTCAAACAAATTTACAAGAAAAAAACAAACAACCCAATCAACATGTGGGCGAAGGATATGAACAGAGACTTCTCAAAAGAAGACATTTATGCAGCCAAAAGACACATGAAAAAATGCTCATCAACACTGGCCATCAGAGAAATGCAAATCAAAACCACAATGAGATACCATCTCACACCTGTTAGAATGGCGTTCATTAAAAAGTCAGGAAACAACAGGTGCTGGAGAGGTTGTGGAGAAATAGGAACACTTTTACACTGTTGGTGGGACTGTAAACTAGTTCAACCATTGTGGAAGTCAGTGTGGCGATTCCTCAATGATCTAGAACTAGAAATACCATTTGACCCAGCAATCCCATTACTGGATATATACCCAAAGGATTATAAATCATGCTGCTATAAAGACACATGCACATGTATGTTTATTGTGGCACTATTCACAATAGCAAAGACTTGGAACCAACCCAAATGTCCAACAATGATAGACTGGATTAAGAAAATGTGGCACATATACACCATGGAATACTATGCAGCCATAAAAAAGGATGAGTTCATGTCCTTTGCAGGGACATGGATGAAGCTGGAAACCATCATTCTCAGAAAACTATTGCAAGGACAAAAAAACAAACACCACATGTTCTCACTCATAGGTGGGAACTGAACAATGAAAACACATGGACACAGGAAGGGGAACTTTACACACTGGGGCCTGTTGTGGGGTGGAGGAAGAGGGGAGGGATAGCATTAGGAGATATACCTAATGTAAATGAAGAGTTAATGGGTGCAGCACACCACGTGGCACATGTATACATATGTAACAAACCTGCACGTTGTGCACATGTACCCTAAAACTTAAACTATTAAAAAAAAAACAGATAATTCTTTTTTTTTTTTTTTTTTAAGATGGAGTCTCGCTCTGTTGCCCAGGCTGGAGTGCAATGGTGCAGTCTCAGCTCACTGCAACCTCCACCTCCCAGGTAATTTTTGTATTTTTAGTAGAGACGGGGTTTCACCATGTTGGCCAGGCTGTTCTCAAACTCCTTACCTCATGATCCGCCTGCCTCAGCCTCCCAAAGTGCTAAGATTACAGGCATGAGCCACTGCGCCCGGCAGAAAAGAGATAATTCTCAATGAAAATTTTTTCTTTCTTACAATCACTGTTTCCTTATCTGTGAATCCTTCTTCCAACTAGAAAGAGGAGAGAAAGGAAGTTTGCCTTAATTTCTCACAGGGAGGAGAAGGGATATAGCATGTCATTAGAATGAAAGGGTGCAGGAGCTTGAGCCCTTTTCTGCTTTCTAGAATACCCAGGGTGATCAGTTCCCAGAACTTCGGTTTATTCATTTAGACCACAGGTATGTTTCTGAGCAAAAGTTATGTTCTGGTCTCTGTTCTAGGCTCAGAGAATTCTACTTGAATAAGATAAAAAAGATCCCTACTCTCATGGAACTCAATACCAGAGGAGACAGACAGTATCCCAATAAATATTTAACAAAAAAGAAAAATTCAGAGAGCAATATTGCCTTTAAAAAAAAAGACATCAGGGTGATAGGACAGAGAGAATTGGATTCACCCAACTTCACTTCACATTGGATTCACAGGTAGTTTGGGAGCCCTCTCTGAGGAGAGCTCACATTTAGCTGAGACAAGAACAATAAGACAGCCATGTGAAGATCTAAGGGACAAGTGTTCCAGACAGACAGAAAAGGGGAAAGGCCAAGGAATGGGAAGGCGTGTGCTGTGTTGAAGAGACAGAAAGAAGGTTAGAGGGGCTGAAGGATGGAAAGCAAGGGGTGGAGTGGCAGAAGATGAGGTAAGAGAGAGAGAAAGTCAGGAGCTGCATCATATTCGGCCTTGGTGGCCATAGTAAGGAATTAAGTTTTATTTAAACATATTGGAAGCTCCTGGGAGGTTACAAGGAGAGTCCATTAATATTATGTTGCGGGAAGTCAGGGACCCCAAACAGAGGGACCGGCTGAAGCCATGACAGAAGAACGTGGATTGTGAAGATTTTATGCACATTTATTAGTTCCCCAAATTAATACTTTTGTAATTTCTTATGCCTGTCTTTACTGCAATCTCTAAACATAAATTGTAAAGAGTTCATGGAAACTTATCACTTCCCCAATCAATACCCTTGTGATTTCCTATGCCTGTCTTTCCTTTAATCTCTTAATCCTGTCAGCCGAGGAGGATGTATGTCACCTCAGGACTATGTGATAATTGCATTAACTGCACAAATTGTACAGCATGTGTGTTGAGCAATATGAAATGTAGGCACCTTGAAAAAGAACAGGATAACAGCAATTGTTCAGGGAATAAGAGAGATAACCTTAAACTCTGACTGCCGGTGAGCCAGGCAGAACAGAGCCATATTTCTCTTCTTTCAAAAGCAAATGGGAGAAATATTGCTGAATTCTTTTTCTCAGCATGGAACGTCCCTGAGAAAGAGAATGCGCACCTAGGGGTAGGTCTCTGAACTGGCCCCCCGGGGCGTACCTATCTCTTATGGTCGAGATTGCAGAGGTGAGATAGACTCCAGTCTCCCATAGCGCTCCCAGGCTTATTAGGAAGAGGAAATTCCCACCTAATAAATTTTGGTCAGATCGGTTGATCTCAAAACCCTGTCTCCTGATAAGATGTTATCAATGACAATGGTGCCTGAAACTTCATTAGCAATTTTAATTTCGCCTTGGTCCTGTGGTCCTGTGATCTCACCCTGCCTCCACTTACCTTGTGATATTCTATTACCCTGTTAAGTACTTGATGTCTGTCACCCACACCTATTCGCACACTCCCTCCCCTTTTGAAAATCCCTAATAAAAACTTGCTGGTTTTTGTGGCTTGTGGGGCATCGTGGATCCTACCAACGTGTGATGTCTCCCCCAGCTTTAAAATTTCTCTCTTTTGTACTCTGTCCCTTTATTTCTCAAGCCAGCTGACGCTGAGGAAAATAGAAAAGAACCTACGTGATTATCAGGGCAGGTCCCCCGATAATGTTCAATTTTAAAAATAATTCTAGCTACTATGTGGAGATTGGATTGTTGGGGTTCACAACTGGAGAACAGCAGAATTCTCCAGGGAAGACAAATTTTTGGCTTCATGTAGTGTAGTAGTGACAAAGACAGATCCAGATAAAGTGAACAGACTTGGGATGTCTTTTTGCATGACTTGTTAATGGATTAAATGTAACTTATTTCTAAGTATTTTGCCTTGATAAATAGGTGGATGGTGGTGCTGCTTATTGAAATAGGGAAGAATGTGGGAGGAAATGATTTGAAGTGGGTGATTAGAAATGACAATTGTGTTTATTAAAATTGAGATGATTTTTGAACTCACATGAAGCAATCAGGAAGTCAACTGAATATAAGAGAGGAGTTCAGGGTGAGGCCAGGGTTGGAGGTATTTATGTTGGGGTCGATGCAGGTTCTGTGTTAAATTCCAGGGAAGTGGAAGAGGTTGCAGAGGGAGATAGATTTTTGTGTAGAAAAAATATCAGAGGGCCACAGGACAGCATAAGGGACTGAGAAGATTCCCCAGAGATGCTGGAGAAAAAAAAAAACCCAAGAGAATGTGATGCATGGGAATCAAAGACAAATGATTTTTTCGAGGTGAGGGAGTGGCCAGTTGTGGTGAGAACCACCGACAGGTGAGTGAAGTGAGAACGTGACAGAGAAGCAAGTGCTGCGTTTGAAGGAGTTGATATTTGCAGTCAGTGGAGTATCCAGGATGGAAAGTAGATTGGACCATTTGAAGAGCGGGTGGAAGAAGTGAGGGCTGGATGAAGTTTGACTCTTTTGAGTAGCGAGCCTCAGGGAAAGACTATGCTCTGGGATCAGGGAGCCAGCTGGACCTAAAGAAAATGAACAAAGAAGCTGAAGAGAAGCAGGATGACCTGCGAACCAGAGACAGATGCTCAGTCATTGGCAATGAAGCACTAGAAGGCCCCTGTGTACAGTGGTGACAGGTTATGCAAAAGGCTATTAGTTCATACAGCCAATATTTATTAGTGACTTAGAATATACTAGTTATTACTCTGGGTGATGAGAATGGAGTAATAAACAAAGCAAATCTGGTCTGTATTAGCGTGGAGTATTGTAATATTTTGCAGTGACTAATTACCAGGCTTATAAATTTTGGTATGGAAATCTAATACCTATCCTATCATATCTTTGGTATTTAAAAGCATATACATCTTTGGAATCTAAAATTCAAAGGGTGTAAGTAACTTACCCACTGTCACAAAGTTAGTGCTAGAAATCAGATTGCAATTTTAATCTGAGTATATACAAATTCCCTCTCTTTGACATCAGCACTCTCCTTTTGTGTGAGGTTTAGGCATATGAACTATTATACATAAACCAGTGTTTCTGCCCTCATGTGTTTAAAATGGTAATTAGTGATAAATTAATAAAAGACAATTGCCAAATCATGATCTAGATGTTACTTGCTTTAGAAGTTAAGGAATAGAAAAATAATGAAGCTTTCCTTTATAGGGATTGTAAAAATAAAATGGTAATATATTAGAGTGATTATTATATTATCAGCACTAAGAAGAGCCACTACTTAGTTTTACCCTCAACAATAATCCTGTGAGGAATATATTACTGTTGGATCCATTTTATATATATTTTTAAAGGTTAATGGTTGTTAAAATTAACCCTAGTAGAAGGGGTCATGTTTAAATTCAGATTTCCTGATTCTAGAGCCTGAGCTTACAACCACCATTAGTGAATAGTGACTAGACTGAGTCTGAATTATTGATAGAATTTCTTATGTACAGGGTGTGTCTCAGGGTGGGAGAGAGATGCAAGGTCTGCTAGTCCCAATGTAAAGGAGAAACTTTCATTCATTTTGCATTTATCATTTGAAAACTTCCCTATGTGCACGCTGTCATAGGCATGTGTTAAAGAACACAAAGAAGTATTAAATTCACTCCTTCTGAGCATTATTAGCAAGTTGGGCTCAGGTTGCCAAATATAGTACAGGATACCCAGTTAAATCCGAACTTCAGATAAACAACAATAATGTATTTGAAATCCAAATTTAACTAGGCACCCTCTATTTTTATTTGCTAAATATGGCAATCTAAGCTTGGCACATGAGCATAGACTGCAGTGCTAACCATGCAAGCTACAGTGACAGCAACTTCACATATTTTTATTTTCCAACATTCTTATCTGTGAAGAAGGTGCTCAGAGAATTTAGGAATAATAAGATAGACCTTATCTCATCCAAAGTGCTCTCCTCTCTGCTATCATTTCTGAAGGGTGAAGGGAGCTTGTGAAAGTCTCTACTCAAAATCTGGGGACTTGCTCGTTTTTTGGAAACTATCTATGAGAGAATGCCATCTTCTTAGTTTCTCCCTGTATTAGTCTGTTTTCAGGCTGCGGATAAAGACATACTCAAGACTGGATAATTTATAAGGAAAAAGGGCTATAATAGACTCACAGTTCCACGTGGCTGGGGAGACCTCACAATCACAGCGGAAGGTGAAAGGCATGTCTCACATGATGGCAGACAAGAGAAGAATGACAGCAAGCAAAAGGGTTTTTCCCTTTATAAAACCATCAGATCTCATAAGACTTATTCACTGTCATGAGAACAGCATGGGGAAAGACCTGCCCCCATGACTCAACTATCTCCCACCTGGTCCCTCCCACAACACTTGGGAATTGTGGGAGCTACAATTCAAGACAAGATTGAAATGCTTACGCAGCCAAACCATAGCACTCCCCTTCTGAGAAGGCTTAACTACAGAAATAAGAGTTCTGCCTCTGTCCAAGGTTGGTAATTTGATGCCTCCTTGTATTGTTGGGAGTAGGAAACTGAAAGTTAGAAAATGAATTAGCTGAGGCAGTGAGTAGTGGACCAGTGACACAGAAATTAAGAATATGACTTGGCGACTGGCAAGGCAAATAAATCAGTAAACCTTGGTTCTGAATGAATTAATTTTGCTAGAAAAATAGCTCTGCACTGGGACCAGATTCCTAAAAATCCTAAGTTTTATGTAGGACCAAGATTTTAAATAGATAGAATATTGGCAGAGTTTTCAGTGTAAATCTCAAATATTCCATAATTAATAGCGGCTTTTTAACCATAGATGTTTCAGATGGTTACACTAGTGGGTCTCACCCAGGGATAGTTCACCACCCCTCTGTCCCTCCCTTCCCTCTCCCAACTCCCTAGGGAACATTTGGCAATGTCTGGAGCCATTTTTGGTTGTCACACCAGGAGTTTCTTCTGACATGTAACAAGTAGAAGCTAGGGACCCTAGTAGACAGCTCCTCTCACCAAGAAAATATTATCTAGTCCAAAATGTCAATAGTGCCAAGGCTGAGAACACTGGTTTACATTGTGTTTCTTCTAAAAATTCTATACTCACACTTTTAAAACACATTTATCTCTTAGTTCAGCTCTTCATGGCTTAGTTTTGCTTGTTTCATTGCCGAAAAAAAAAAACCTAGACAGTTGCATAAATTCACTGCTTTCTTGATGAATCCATTCAATCAATGCAGGTTCAAGATCTTCATTTTTACTTTTTTGCTTTATGCAGTTTATTTCAAAATT